>NC_000003.12:133402543-133554058 GCF_000001405.40 Homo sapiens
AGGGCCTGGGTATGAATAAAGTTCTCTTTTTCTTCTTTTTTAAAAAATCATGGACTTGAAGATAGAGTAAGACCAATTGATAAAATGGAGTTATTATTTCTTTTTTTTTTTTTTTGAGATGGAGTCTCATTCTGTCACCCAGGCTGGAGTGCAGTGGTGCGATCTCAACTCACTGTAACCTCCACCTCCCGGGTTCAAGCAATTCTCCTGCCTCAGCGTCCTGAGTAGCTGGGATTACAGGTGCACGCCACCACGCCCAGCTAATTTTTTTGCATTTTTAATGGAGATGGGGTTTCACCATGTTGGCCAGGCTGGTCTTGATCTCCTGACCTCAGGTGATCCACCCGCCTCTGCCTCCCAGAGTGCTAGGATTACAGGAGTGAGTCACCATGCCCAGCCTGGAGTTACTTTTTCTATATTGCACAGCCCAGCCTTTCAGCCATATTAAACTCTATTCCATCAAGAAGAACAAAAGAAAACTCCATAATTGAGAAATGCTCCTGATTTTTTCAGTGAATCTGGCCTCGTGGAGCTGCAGGAGGCCCCCACCAGGCCCCCACCCCTTTCCAGGCCTAGAGGAAAGGCCACCTCCCAGCCCAGTCCTTCCACAACACGCTGCCTTCATCTCACTTGGGGTCAGAGGCAGCCACTCTGCGGTCCTGGGCCCCAGAAATCCAGAGCTCTCTCCCTCTGCCCTCACTTAGGCCACTCTGGCTGGGGCTTCATGCCCACCTTTCCAGACTCTGGGCTCTGGTGTTCCGTGCTCCTCACAGCACTCCTTACCCCTCCTGTTTCTCCACCTGCAGCTGCCTCTTCCCCCCCTTGTCCACAGAACTCCTCCTGGTCCTGCAGCTCAGTTCCATGGCAACCCTCTGTGACTCCTCAGGGCCCATGCAGGGCCTGAGGCCTCAGAGCAAGCTCTCAGCAACTGAGCCCCAAGTTGGCACCTAGAGAGAAATTCGACCTCCTTAGCCTGGGCCCCAAACAGAGAATCCAAGAGAGACCTCAGTCACTCAATAGCACGGTGGGGATGTCCATTTTGGTGGCACTTTCTTGGATCAGGCTGGAGCAAGCAGTGGGGAAGGTCAGAGCAGGCAACAATTTCCATAAATGTTTGGGAAACAACATTTCCTCTTGCTTTCAGAGGGGGAGAAGAGTTGGAAAGGAGACAGGCTCTCCTCCCTGCCATCACCACCCCAGCTAGCACAGAAAGCTCCTGGGGCCATTCTGGGGAGTGGGGGTCCCCTGTCCCCTGGAATCTCCCCACAGCCTGTCTCACCCCCACCCAGAGGAGACAAAGACAGGTTTTCAGAAAAGCCAGGAAGAGGAGCCAGGAGGAGGGAAACAATTGCTGTCACTGTGCAGAGAGTCACATCATGGAAAGCAACACGAAACTAGGGTGCCAGGAGGGCTCACACCATGGCAGAATCAGGAAGGCCGTCCTGGGGAGGGGGGAATCTTCCTCATCCTTATATCACTATGTAAGTTTGGGGCCAGGGTTGGCTCCATGGGTGCACCACCAGTGAAGTCTCATAGGATGCTGCACTGGAGTGCAGCGATGCCATCAGAGATCACTGCAACCTCAAGCTCCTGGCCTCAAGAGATCCTCTTGCCTTGGCCTCCCAAAGGGCTTGGATTATAGGTATGAGGCACCGTGCCCAGCCAATAGTTTTATCTTTGAATTTGTGTTTTAAAAGTGAAGTCTTGTGGGACAATGGAGTATGGACCAGGGGCTCTTGAATGGTCCTACCTCCCTCTGTCTCCCTACAACAGGTTCTTGGCCCACCTCTCTGCCCCTGGGAGCCCCTTCTGACACCTGCTCCAAGCCCCTGGGTGGCAGCAACTGGAGGGAGAGGACAAGCCTCTTGCTCACCCCCAACCCAGGTACCTACAGGTGGCACTGAGGTCGTAATATTCTTGGGGGTTATCACCCCACCCCACCAGCAGGACATGGTACATCGGTCCAATGGCCGGTAAGAAAGGTACCGCAGCCATTGGTGGGGTATGCACATGCCCAGAATCATGGAGCGAGGCCTCTGGATGCCTATAAAGGTCTGCATGAGCATCCCCATTCCCCAGGGAGTGGAAATTAAATAGCAGATAAAAATTACCATAACAAGTTGAAACATGACAGAAGAAAGGAAAAAGCATTATATTTGAGTAACTTAAATCGCACTTTGTTCCTGCTCTTTGAACATGGGGCCCCACATTTTGCACTGGGATCCGCAAATTATATAGCTGGTCCTAGTTAGGGTTCATGCATATGAAGTTCTGTTTCAATTCCAAACCTCTCTCCTCCCACTCCTCAGCTGTGTTAGAACCTCCAAGCCTCGCTAAGTGGTGAAAACGGACAGAAAAACCCCAGGTGGCAACTACAGAGGCTGAGGAAGACCTGGGCCATTTCCCTCTCCAGCCTTGCTCTGTGCTCCTGACTTTTCTTACCAAATGAACGATGCTGACAATAGGCTCTGATGGCAACATCAGGCCCTTTCATCCTCAAATAGGCCAAACACAAGCTTGGAATAAGGCAGCCTTGTGCCTCGGAGCTGCAGATGAAAGGAGAGTGGGGTCAGAGGAGCAGCCCTCAGAGACCAGGTGTCAAAACAAAAGGAACAGCTGAAGCCAGGGGGAGAATGAAGCTGCCTGAGGAAGAAAGGGGAGCGCAGAGGTTCTAAATTAAGGAGCCAGGACATTTGTCTAGGTCTCCATGGGAGAAAACTGCAGCTTATACCTCCAAAGGATAAGGCTGTCAGCTGGAGAAAATGGGAAATCAAAATTGTTGAAAGGCAAAGGATTAGAGTTTAAAATGGACCTGATTTGACTATTTTTCCTGCTGTTCACAGCCCGTCTTTCTGTCCCTTGCACAGAGACAGCCCATACTCAGGGAATCTGCCTACTTGAAGAACATGCTGGAAACTCAGGCAATCCAGATCTGGGCCAGGTTTCTCCCACAGAACTTGTGGTCCTAGAAGGCTCTCTTTTTAGAAAAAAAAAACAAGAACTAATCCTTCTCCACTGAGAATAAATAAAGGCAACAGGGTTTGTTGTTCATGATTTACAACCTGGTATCCCTGGAAAGTAGGTGATGGGGGCAGAATCATAATCTGCAAAGGCCTGAACACATTTCCCCAAGAAAAAGTCACTCAGCCTGTTTCTTAATCAGTGCAATTTGTTTGGTCAGAGCAGGCCAGTGGGGCGGTTTCTTTGTCAGCCAAGCTATAAGGGACACTACAGTATGGTTAGAAATGTAGCTACCAGAGAAAAGTCCGTTAGAGAGATTCATTCCTCTTAGGAAGAGTGAGGTATATGATTGGAAGAAATATTTTGATGGGAGAGGGGGAGAAGGAGGCATGAGCCTGCTTCCCAAGGGTCTTGTTCATATAATACAGGTGGCCACTAAGCCTCTTTATTTATTTTTATTTATTTATTTTTTGATATGGAGTCTCACTCTGTTGCCCAGGTTGTGGCGCAATCTCGGCTCACTGCAACCTCCGCCTCCCGGGTTTAAGCGATTCTCCTGCCTCAGCCTCCCAAGTAGCTGGGATTACAGGTGCCCACCACCATATCCAGCTATTTTTTTTTTTTTTGTATTTTTAGTAGAGACAGGGTTTCACCATGTTGGCCAGGCTGGTCTCAAACTCCTGACCTCAGGTGATCCACCAGCCTTGGCCTGCCAAAGTATTGGGATCACAGGCGTGAGCCACCGTGCCCAGCCAGTCACTAAGCTGCTTTCTAAGAAAGGTGGTTTCTGGAAGTTGAATGTGTCTGGAAAGCAAGAGAACTGCTAAAGAAAACAGAGGGAGACTAGGGTGTGGCACTCAGGGCCTCTTTCCATGCCCCTCTCATACACCACACTCGGCCACTCTTAAACCTCTTAAGATCTCTTAAAATGTGAGTTCCATGTTGGGAAATGGAAGACAGGGGGTGGGGTCAGTTTTCCATGAAAACTAGGGAAAATTAGATGTGATGCAAAGACTGGGGATTTTGAAGCCAGACAGCCCCTAGCCTTGCCGCTTGCCATCTACCAACCGTGTGATCTTGAGCCAAGGTCTTCATTGATCTCTGCATCTCAGTTTCTCATCTGAATAATGAGGATGATTAGAGACTTCCTTTGACATGATAAAATATCTCTAAGAAGGAAACACTAGGCCTTCCACAGAAATTAAGAATGAGAAAAAGATGCCCGCTCTCTCTCGTTGGTTAGAGGCAGTAGTCAATATGATTAGACAAGAGAAAGTACTTGGTATAAGAATTGGAAAGAAAGAGGGAAAAATTTGGTCTTTCTGGAAATCCCAGAAGGAACAATGTAAAAACTATACGACAAAAAATAAGATGATTTAGTGAAGTAGCACGTTATAAAATAACATCAAAAAGCAATGCTGAGGCTGGGCATGTGGGCAAATGCCTGTAATCCAAGTACATTGTGAGGCCAAGGCAGAAGGATCACTTGAGCCTGGGAGGTTGAGGCTGCAGTGAGCCATGATTCTACAACTGCACTCCAGCCTGGGTGACAGAGCAAGACCCTGTCTCTAAAAGAAAAATAAATAAATAAATGCTGCTGGGCATGGTGGTACAAACCTGTAGTCCCAGGTATTCAAGAGGGTGAAGCAGGGGGATTGCTTGAGCCCAGGAGTTCAAGACCAGCCTGGGCAACAAAGCAAGGGCCATCTCAAAACAAATAACAAACAATGCTATTTATATATAAACAAAAAGATAAAAGAGATGAGAAAATCTTATTTATGATAGCGTAAGATGAATCACCTCTAAACTTCAGAAATGTCCAAAGTCTATATTAGACAACAATCAAATCTATCTGAAACACACAAAATAGTCTTGAACAAATGGAAAGAAACACCATGCACTCAAATAGACTCAATAGCATAAAGATGTCTCTTCTCCCTAAGTTAATGTATCAATTTAATGCAATCCTAATTTTTAAAATTCCATTTTTTTTTCTAGAGTTAGATGAGTTGATTTTAAATTCCCTTTGTAAGAACAGAAAGACAAGAATGGCCAGGAAAGAAAAACTAAGAAAGAGTGGAGGGGAGGAGGCTGGGGAGGGGACCAGCAGCCCCGCCAGACATTAACATATTATAAAGTCTCTGTAATTAAAATAGTTTAGCGTTGGCACAAAAAAGATGAGAAAACCATGGAACAGAATAGAACATTCTATAGTAAGCTCTACTGTGTTTGGAAATTGAGTATTGATGAAGGCAGCATTTGAAACCAATAGAGGGAAGGATGGACTTTTTAATAAGTGATATTCAGACAACTAGATAGTCATAAGGAAAATAATAAAATTAGATCCATTTCTTGCTGTACCCTAGGGTCAGTTCTAAATGTATCCTAGATATAAAATCAAAAATGAAACCATACAAGTAGAAAACATAGGTGAATTCCTTTATAACTTGGATGTGGGAAAAATTTTTCTTGTTACAATTCAAAATACAAAAGCAACAAAGGAAAATATTGATAAATTTGATTAAGAAAAATTTTAAAATGTTGCATTTCAAAATATCACCATAAGCAAAATTAAAAGATAAATGACAAACTAGAAAAAAAAATGCAATGTAGGATACAAAAGGTTAAAATAGCCCTATTTTATACACAGCATTTAAAATTTGAGGTTAAAAAAAGCCGATAGCACTCTTTTATTTTTAAATGTTAGAGATATGAACAGACAGTTGACACAAAAAATAGATGAAAATGGCTCCTAATGTCTCAACTGCACTCATAATAAGAGAAATTTTTAAAATCTACCTGAGATACCACTTTTACCTATCCAATTAGCAAAACTCTAAAAGTATGTCAAACTATTTGTTGGTGAAGCTCTAGGGAAACAGGCAAGTTTATACAGTGTTGATGGGAATAGAAAATGTTACAACCCCTATGGAGAAAAATTTGGCAACATCTAGACAAATTATATAGGCATTTATGTATACATAATTTGACCCAGCAGTCCTGTTTCTAGGACACACTCCCAATGACACACTGGCAAAAATATGAACAAGAAGTATGTACAAAGCTGTTCACTGCAATCCTATCTGTAATACCAAAATACTGGAAAAATCCAAATACCTCCCAGGAGGGGACTCGTTGAATAAACCATGATGCATCTGCAAAGGAACAAGAAATCGCTCTATAGCTACTATGGAGTGATGATCTCCAGGATATGTTATTGAGCTAAAAGGCAAGATGGAAAGAGTGTGTATTTCATTCTACCATCTAGCTAAGAAAAGGGAAGGATATGAATATATACATACATATGTGTTTACATTGAAAAAATGGAATAAAACAAACCATAAGTATTTTTAAATGTTACTTATAGGAGGGTGGAGGGGAAAAAGTAGCAGGGAAAGGTAGGGCACTAGAGTTCTTCTAATTTATCTTGTTATGTGGAGATGACTTTGGAACCATGAAAATATTTTACAGAATTGTATAACAAAAATAGATTTCAGAAAGCCAATTCTAAGAATCAAAAATAAAAAGAAACAAATGAATCCAGCTATGTACCAAGTTGATAGCATAGTCACACGAAGAAGAACTATTCCAAGTGGCTTTTTAAACCACAGGAATTTAACTGTACATTCCTAGTGGAGATGCAAAAGACAACAGAAAAAAACCCAACAATTTTTCAGTAATCACATTGGTGGTGGTAGCACTGGCACTGTTATTCTGACACTGGTGTGTGTGTGTGTGTGTGTGTGTGTGTGTACTGTGGGACAGAGTAAGAGAGTAACTATATTTGTGTTATTGAAAACTGAGACTTGAATGTGAGTGAAAGGAGATACAGTTGTAAGATGCATGACGTTTAGTGACAATTCTTTAGTCTTGAATTTAAATCAGAATTATCAATATAAAGTCATGATATATGTGATCATGAAAATAAATATATGCCTATTTCCAAGTCTGACCACTGAAAAGATCTAGAAGCAATGGCCAACTTAGCGACAATGAACATTTTTAGCCTCAGATTTGGGTCTCTAACAACCATCTTTCACTAAAAGAATGGGGGGCTCCTTGTAGAAATGGCTGAATCCAGGTTCGAGGATAGGAAATATTCAAGACGAGTCTGAAACACCTTGTCATACCAGAAAGCAAGGACGCTATGAAAAACTACTACAGTCATGTCAGAAGACTTAGGAGTCAATTCAAAGAAGCTCCCACTAACCAAAGATGGTTGGGAATCAATAAGAATATTATCAGGGCTTCCAGTAAGGTGAACAAGAAGACATCCATGTGCTGGGAGGGTGGCTACCCCAACTCCATGGGGACAGAACTCCTGTGCTCAGGACTCTTCTACACCTCATGCTGTGGAATCTAAAGCAACAGCAAAGCTGAGGTCCAACTGCCATAAGGATGGACACCAAGGAGGCTGCACTGGGGAGAAAAAGAAGTCAAGATAAGCAACATGAACCATAAAGCCCGGACCGTGGCGGGTATGAAAGAACAAGAAAGGCGGGATCAGGAAATTCAACAGGACGAAGTTGCCTTCCCACCTAGCTCTCTTCTCTTTGCTGAGCCATACAAAACTACTAGCAAGGAAGATAAGTTATCGAGTTGTATCCAGAGTAGGCTTGGAAACTATGGTGAAATGAAAGATTTTATAGGAGACAAATCTATACCAAGGCTTATTGCAGTTTCCAAGCCTACGGTACCACCTATAACAGATGAAAATGGACCCCAGTAGGACCTCTGCACCCAGCATTTCTGTCCCAGAAACAGTCCTCAGGCTTACAGAGTGGACATAGTAGCCAGTAGACCGGTGCAGGTGGCAGCAGTGGCACTAACAGTCGTGGCCAGAGACATGACTGTGACTCACATAGCAGTAGTGGGAGCAGAAGACCAGAGAAAAATGTCAGCATGGATCACAGCACTCCAAGCCGCGCTCTTCCAGCCCTGGGAAACCCCAGGCTGTCTCTTCGTTAAGCTCCAGTCATTCCAGCTCTCATGGGAATGATCAGCATAGCAAGGAATATCAGCGCTCCAAATCACCTGGGGACCCTAATGCAAACGGGGATTCTCCCTCTCACGTATCTTTTCCAAGTGGGCAGCACTCAAATCAGTCTTTCCCACCTTCGTTGATGTCAAAGTTCAGTTCAATGTTACAGAAACCTATTGCCTGTGTGCAGCCCGTGGGCGGACAGGAGTCCGTGGGCGGACAGGAGTCTGTGGAACCAGAGCTGTCCTCTGAGCGCTACAGTAGCCAATCCCATGGTGACAGCACAAATGAGCTGCAGCCCAGCAGCAAAGCACATCTCGCCAGGCTGAAAATACCTTTCTAACCGCTGGACCTAAGTCACACATTCAGAGCTTTTAATATTGTGACTATGTGAAGCAATTGAACATGAAATTCTGATTGAACTTGAACTGCCTTTTTGCCTTAATAGTAAAGAATGTAAAAGTTTAGAGATGTTTTAAAGTTTAAAGAAAGACTTGTGAGCCACTTCCAAGTGAATCCATAGAGACCTGTTAGCTCCCCTCTTGGGAAATAGACAAAATGTCATTTACAGTTTTCAAATATTAAAGTAAGTCAGTTATAGAATAAAAGCATGATCCATCAATTTTTAAAAGAATATTATTAAGAACATTAACTGCAATAGATTGAAATCCATCAAATATGTCAGTATAACACCGAAAAAAAAAAAAAAAAAAACTAATTAATCACCTTTGGAGCCCACTGAGGAACCAACTCATTTTTAAAACTGGTAAATAATGAGAGAAAATAAAGCATTTTCCTGCCTTTCTTATAAGACCTATAGGTATATCCAGTAAGAAAAATAAATAAAGAGAGGAATTATCTTTTTATAGATGTATTCCAGCTAATAAAGAAAAATAATAGAATTATTAATTTTATTTATATCTATAATAAAACAATGGCTCTAGGCAATAACAATAATCAAATGGCTATGACCTTCACAAAATGCGACCAGCAGCCGTTCTGCATCTCCTGGTGGAGTACACATCACCACCTATGAAGTAGTCTTGCAAACAAACAAAAAACCTGAATATGATTAAGCCTCAAGATAAAACTACTAATTTACAGAAAAGAAGGGGGTCAGATGAACGGGTTAATTCTATAGTAAGCTCTACTGTGTCTGGAAATTTAGTTTTAATAAAGGCAGCACTTGAAGCCAATAGAGGGAAGGGTGGACTTTTTAATAAGTGATATTTAGACAACTAGACAGTCATAAGGAAAATAATAAAAGTATTATTATAGAGATGAAACCAGCAAAATCCAAACTCTGGGAAACTATAAGACAAAAGACCCAATTTTTTAACAAATAAAAATTGCAAGGGAAAGAAGCAAGATGGTAAGAGAAATCTATACAGTAAAAGAGACTAAATTAACATATCAGCCCATCAAAATGGGCTTTATTTGGATCACTATCCAAACAATTAAAAAATATATTAGACACGAGAAAAGATAAACACTATTTGATAATTGAGAAAGTATTACGAAAGTATTATTAATTTTTAGACGTGATCATCGTTGTGAAGTCATGTGTTCTTTTTAAAGCATTCTTATAATTTGCCAGTACAGGCTGAAATATTTGAAGAAGAAATAATATGATGTCTGGGATTTGTTGAAAATAATCTCAGGCAGAGTGGCAAGACGTGTGGGCACAAGTAAAACAAAATAGGCCACGTGCTTATAATCAAGGAAGCTGGGTGATGCATATATGGGGGTCCACTATAACAGATTTCTTGTGACTGACATTTGAAATTTTTGTAAAAATGCAGCTAGAAGACCTACCTCATCGGGTTGGTGCAGGAATGTAAATGAAATGATGTGTGTAAATCGCCTGGCACATAATCAATGCTTTAAGTTTGTGGAATTGAATAAACTTGAAGACATACATTAAGTGAGCAGTAACACAAACAGCTGCTTACATGAGCGCGTTGATCAACCGACATACGCTGTGGGAGTTTCCAGAAAGAGCAGGGTATTGATTAGTTCTCAGCAAGGGTGCCCCAGGAAGTGGGGACTGAATGTGGGTCCCAAGGAAGATGCCAGAAGATGGCCCTTCAGAGCGGGGCCCCGCGTGGACCAAGGTGGGAGCCGGGCATGGCGTCCTCAGGGCAGTCTGGGTGCCGGGCAGGCCTCCTACCAAGCGCCAGCTCTGCCGGGGCCACTGCTCTGTCTCCCTCCCTCTCCACTTCCAGAGCCTGGCACAGGGAGGCATACCTCGACACACAGCGGGTGTTCAAGAAACGGCCGGTGGTGAAAGGTGAATGTGGAACCAGACAGGCTCCAGGTTTCAATTCAGAACTCCAGCTCAGGGGTTCTCTGAAATTCCAGACCAGCAGTGAGACAGGAAGCGGCTGCAATGTCTGACACAGAGAAACAACGCAGCAGAATCCTCTGCCGCTGTGAGAAGAGAACCAGGATGCTGGTTAGATACTGACGTGGAGCTGGCGCCAGAATGTATCTGAGTAACCACGTCTGTGCTCTGCTACTATTTCTGTTTCTTAGAAAGTGGAGGGCAGACCCTCTCTGGAAGCACACATAGGGGCTGCGGACAGTGGAGGCTTCTGGTGAGAGGGCTGGGGCTGGAGACAGGGCAGGAGCAGGCTTACTTTGGGGTATATACTCTTTGACACTGTTTGGAGGTTTTACCTTAAATAAAATATGCAGTAATAAATAAAAGTCCTGTCAGTGGCTTTTGGGGTGGGGGAAGCAGTAATTCCTATCAGGTCTTGGGGCAGGGGAAGCCTTCAGAACTCCACGGAAGCAAGAGAACCTTTCTACTGACGTGTCCCGGTGGGAGAGAAGACCCATCTCCACAGCTCCTCTCAAAACAAACCCAGCCAAATTAAACAAGCGTACAGAAGAGCAATAGGAAAGATGTTCTAAAGGGCTACACTCTCCAGAAGAGCTAAATTAAAACTAATCCAGGCAGCTGGCACAAGTGCTGAGGACAAATGTGGTGGCTTTTTACGGGGGAATTAGTGAAAGAATGGCTGAACCAAGCAGAATGTTACTCAGGGTCCCCAGCGCTCTCCCAGAGGGTTTATGCTGATCCACCGAATTTGAGGACTCAATTTAGGCAAATAAAACCTAGTTTATTGTCGTCTGGCTGGGGAAAAGCACATAAAGACTCATTGATCTGGTTGTAAACGAGCTAGTAGAGCTGGCTGTCACAAGTGCATTATTCAGCAGAAACGAGAAGTGATTTCAGCAGTCCTCAGGAGGGAGTGAATGCAGGGCACAGGAGTGGAAATCTCCACCACCAAACTGACCACCACTGGAAAACAACTTGTCCTTTTTAGTTACATGTTTATTGCAGGACCAACGAATAACCATCTAAATAAGCGCTAACTAAATAACACTACAGTGTGGAAGTTAGAAAGCCCCCGCATTTCAGCAGGCTCTGGGAAAAATTATGCAGAAGACAAAGTCCCCTGCTGAATGTAACTGCCCACGCCTGCCTGGCCCCTGTACTCACGCCCTACTCATCCCTGTCCGCTCCCGTCTACTCACCCCTGCCCTCTCTCCCCTACTCACCCCTCTACTCACCCCTGCCCTCTCCCCTCCACAAACCCCTCTACTCCCCCCATCCTCTCCCCTCTACTCACCCCGTCCTCTCACCTTACTCACCCCTGCCCTTTCCCCTCTACTCACCCCTGCCCTCTCTCCCCTACTCATCCCTCTACTCACCCCTGCCCTCTCCCCTCCACAAAACCCAGTACTCACCCCTGTCCTGTCCCCCCTACTCACCCCGTCCTCTCACCTTACTCACCCCTGCCCTCTCTCCCCTACTCACCCCTCTACTCACCCCTGCTCTCTCCCCTCCACAAACCCCTCTACTCACCCGTCCTCTCCCCTCTACTTACCCCTGCCGTCTCTACTCACCCCTACCCTCTCCCCTCTACTTACCCCTATACTCACCCCTGCCCTCTCCCCTCTACTCACCCCTGCCCTCTCTCCTCTACTCACCCCTGCTCTCTCCCCTCTACTCACCCCTCTACCTGCCCCTGCCCTCTCCCTTCTACTCACCCCTCTACTCACCCCTGCCCTCTCCCCTCTCCTCTCTACTCAGCCCTGTCCTCTCCCCTCTACTTATACCTGCCATCTCGTCTCTACTCACCCCTCTACTCACCGCTGTCTCACTCCCCTCTACTCACTCCTCTACTCACCCTGCCATCTCTGCTCTACTCACCACTGCCCTATCCCCTCTACTTACCCCTGCCATTTCCCCTCTACTCACCCCTATTCTCTCCCCTCTACTCACCCTGCCACCCCCCCCCCGCTTACCCCTCTACTCACTCCTACCACGTCTGCTCTATTCACCCCTGCCCTCTTCCATCTACTCACACCTGCCCTCTCCCCTCTACTCATCCCTGTCCTCTCCCCACTACTCACTCCTGCCCTGTCCCCTCTGCTCACCCCTCTACTCACCCTGCCATCTCCCCTCTACTCACCCCTGCCATCTCTCCTCTACTCACCCTTGTCCTCTCTCCTCTACTCACCCCCCTACTCATCCCTGCCCTCTCCCTTCTATTCACTCCTGTCCTCTCCCCTCTACTTGCCCCAGTCCTCTCCCCTCTACTCAGCCCTGCCTCCTCTGTTCTACTTACCCCTCTACTCAACCCTGCCCTCTCCCCCGTCCTCTCCCCATCCTCTCCCCTCTACTCAACTCTGTCCTCTCCCCTCTACTCACCTTTGCCCTCTCCCCTCACCTCTGTCCTCTCCCCTCTACTCACCCCTGCCCCCTCTGCTCTACTCACCCCTCTACTCACCCTTGCCCTCTCCCCTCTACTCGCCCCTGTCCTTTCCCCTCTACTCACCCGTGTCCTCTCCCCTCTACTCACCCCTCTACTCAACCCTGCCCTCTCCCCTCCACAAACCCCTCTACTCACCCCTGTCCTCTCCCCTCTACTCAACCCTGTCCTCTCCTCTCTACTCACTCCTGTCCTCTCCCCTCTACTCACCCCTATAGTCACCCCTGCCCTCTCCCTATTCACCCCGTCCTCTCCCCTCTACTCAGCCATGTTCTCTCCCCTCTACTCACCCCTGCCCCCTCCGCTCTACTCACCCCTGCCCCCTCCGCTCTACTCACCCCTCTACTCATCCCTGCCCTCTCCCCTCTACTTACCCGTCATCTCCCCTCTACTCACACCTGCCATTTCCCCTCTACTCACCCCTCTACTCACCCCTGTCCTCTCCCCTCTACTCATCCCTCTATGCACCCTGCCATCTCCCCTCTATTCATCCCTGCCATCTCCCCTCCACTTACCCTTCTACTGACTCCTACCACCTCCCCTCTATTCACCCCTGCCCTCTTCCCTCTACTCACCCCTGCCCTCTCCCCTCTACTCACCCTCGCCCTCTTCTCTACTCACGCTTGCCCTCTCCCCTCTACTCACCTCTGTACTCAGCCCTGCCATCTCCCCTCTACTCGCCTGACCTCTCCCCTCTGCTCACCCGTCTACTCACCCCTGCCCTCTCCCTTCTATTCACCCCGTCCTCTCCCCTCTACTCACCCCTGTCCTCTCCTCTCTACTCATCCCTCTACACACCCTGCCATCTTCCCTCTACTCACCCCTGCTATGTCCCATCTACTCACCCGTTCTCTCACTCTACTCACCCCTGCCCTCCCCCTTCACCACTGTCCTCTCCCCTCTAGTCAGCCCTGTTCTCTCCCCTTTACTCACCCCTGCCCCCTCCGCTCTACTCACCCCTCTACTCAACCCTGCCCTCTCCCCTGTCCTCTCTCCTCTACTCACCCCTGTCCTCTGCCCTCTACTCAACTCTGTCCTCTCCCCTCTACTCACCCGTCCTCTCCCTTCTCCTCACCCCTGTCCTGTCCCCTCTACTCATGCCTGCCCTCTCCCCTCTACTCACCCCTGCCCTTTCCCCTCTACTCTCCCCTATACTCAACCCTGTCGTCTCCCCTCTACTCATGCCTGCTATCTCCCATCTACTCACCACTCTACTCATCCCTGTCCTGTGTCTGCCCTCTACTGACCCCTGTTCTCTCCCCTCTACTCATCCCTCTATACACCCTGCCATCTCCCCTCTACTAACCCCTTCCATCTCCCCTATACTCACCCCTGCCATCTCCCCTCTACTCACCCCTGTCCTCTCCCTTCTACTCACCTCTGTCCTCTCCCCTCTACTCACCCTTGCCCTCTCCCCTCTACTGACCCCTCTACTCTCCCCATCCTCTCCCCTCTACTCACCCTTGCCCTCTCACCTCTACTCACCCCTTTACTTGCCCCTACACTCTCCCTTCTACTCACCCCTGCCCTCTCCCTTCTATTCACCCCTGTCCTCTCCCCTCTACTCAGCCCTGTTCTCTCCCCTTTACTCACCCCGCCCCCTCTGCTCTACTCATCCCTCTACTCATCCCTGCCCTCTCCCCTCTACTCACCCGTCCTCTGCCCTCTACTCACCCCGTCCTCTCCCCTCTACTCACCCTCTATGCACCCTGCTGTCTCCCCTCTACTCACCTCTGCCCTCTCTCCTCTACTCACCCCTCTACTCCTTCCTGCCATCTCCCCTCAACTCATCCCTGCCCTCTCCCTTCTACTCAGCCCTGCCCTCTCCCCTCTACTCACCCCTGCCTTCTCCCCTCTACTTACCCCTGCCCTCTCCCCTCTCTCATCTCTCTACTCACCCCTGCCATCTCTCCTCTATCCACCCCTCTAGTCACCCCGCCTCTCCCCTCTACTTACCCGTGTCCTCTCCCCTCTACTTACCCGTGTCCTCTCCCCTCTACTCACCCTTGCCCTCTCCCTTCTGCTCACCCCTGTCCTCACCCCTCTACTCGGCCCTGCCATCTCCCCTCCACTCACCCCGTTCTCTCCCCTCTACTCACCCTGCCCTCTCCCCTCTACGTACCCCTGCCATCTCCCCTCTACTCACCCCACCCTCTCCCTTCTACTCACC
This sequence comes from Homo sapiens, assembly GCF_000001405.40. Lineage (NCBI taxonomy): Eukaryota > Metazoa > Chordata > Mammalia > Primates > Hominidae > Homo > Homo sapiens. Next base: position 133,417,440 of record NC_000003.12, read on the forward strand.
CTCATCCTCTCCTCTCTACTCACCCCTACCCTCTCCCCTCTACTCACCCCTGCCCTCTCCCCTCTACTCATCCCTTCCCTCGCTCCCATCTCCCCTCTACTCATCCCTTCCCTCTCCCTTCTACTCTCCTCTCTACTCACCCCTGCCATCTCCCCTCTACTCACTCCTCTACTCACTCCTGCCATTTCCCGTCTACTCACCCTTGTCCTCTTCCCTCTACTCACCCCTGCCCTCTCCTCTCTACTCAACCCTGTCCTCTTCCCTCTACTCACCCCTGCCATCTCCCCTCTACTCACCCGTCCTCTCCCCTCTACTCACCTCTGTCACCTCTCCTCTATTCACCCCTCTACTAGACCCTATCCTCTCCATTTTACTCACCCCTGCCCTCTCCTCTCTACTCACCCGTCCTCTCCCCTCTACTCACCTCTGTCCTCTCCCCTCTACTCACCTCTGTCCTCTCCCCTCTACTCACCCCTGCCATCTCCCCTCTACTCACCCGTCCTCTCCCCTCTACTCACCTCTGTCATCTCCCCTCTATTCACCCCTCTACTAGACCCTATCCTCTCCATTCTACTCACCCCTGTCCTCTCCCCTCTACTCATCCCTATCCTCTCCCCTCTACTCACCCCTCTAGTCCCCCATGCCCTCTCGCCTTAACTCACCCCTGCCCTCTACCTTCTACTCACCCCTGTCCTCTCCCCTCTACTCACCCCTGTTCTCTCCCCTCTCTTCCCACCTCCTCAGCTCCTACTGCTAGCCCTACTGCCCAGAGTACTTCCAGGTACCATTCCCAGCTTTCAACTTTACTTCATTTTCATCATCTTCATTCCCACCCCCCAGGTAACCTTTCTCCAGCTCTGAGGAGAAAGGTTAGGTGATGGAGAGATTTATTATCACTCACCCACCAGGGAAACACGGGCCTTGTTTTGTTCATCTGCGCAATGAAGATGAAACCATTGCTCTCACATGAGGAGTAACTGGGACAAGGAGGAGAAGCCCCGGGAGGTCACGGGAGTTCACTGGGTGTGGGTACCCAGCGTCCCTGAGGAGATTGCCTGGGAAATGAGGCGCTCATGGCAGCATCCAGCCCACCCAGGCCAGGAACGTCTCCAGGGACAGCCTTGGGTAGGCCCCTGAATTCCTGGGTGCAGTTGGCCCAGATCCAGCCACCCCCCGGAATGGGCACAGGCACTCTGGGAGTTCTCTGGGTTCATCTTCTGTGAGGCATGTCCCTGCTCAATCCCACCAGCCAAAGACCACTGAGAACATACCTATGTTTTTCCTAACAAAATCATGTTCCTTCCCTAACAAAATCATTTACTTCCGTAAGACTCATGAGGATAAAACCATCCACAGTCTTCACTGAACTGCAGGCCTCTGATATGACCCTTGTGTTGCGTGACGTCTGCAAACGTTAACAAGAACTTTCACTCTCTGTCTTAATTTGGGCCTCTCCATAACATACGGGGCTACCTAGGAAGATGGGATTATGTGCAGTGTATTTGTCACCTTGGGCTGCCAGAACAAAGGCCCATGGACTGTCTTCAACAACAGAAAGGCATTTTCTCCCTATTCTGGAGGCCAGAAGTCCAAGATCAAGGTGTCAGCAGGATTGTTTCTTCTGAGGCCTCTCTCCTTGGCTCATGGAAGGGCATCTTCACCCCGTGTCCTCACACAGGCTTCCCTCTGTACATCTGTGTCCAAACTTCCTCTTCTCAGAAGGGCACCAGGCATCTTGGAGTAGGGCCCACCGTCAGGACCTCATTTTAACCGAATTACCTCTTTAAAGACCCTTTCTCCAAATACAGTCACATTCTGGGGTACTGGGCCTTAGGATTTCAGCACAGGAATTTGGGGGAGGAAGGACACGATTCAGCCCGTAATACCCATTTTACAGATAAAGAAACTGAGGCCACAGTTAGTGTTCCAGCCAGGATCAATTCAGTGTTGTTTCTACCCCTAAAATACTGTTTAAAAACTTCCTGTCACATTCATCTATAAGGCCCGAGTTAGTCCTGTCCCAGAACCCTGAAGGGTAGGCGGGCCCACAGTCTATGTAGAGTGCCCGTTTGATAAGATAGAGCTATAGTCGACACAGGCCCCACTCTGTGAGTTCAGACTTTGGGATGTGCCTCTTTTTCTGTCCTTCTCTGCCTCTTTTAATTTGGAAGAAACTGTCAGAAAGGGTGATTGATCCTTCTGCAAGCACATCTCTAACTGGAACTAACTGCTTTAACCAGGACGCATGAGGCTGGGCGGCTTCCGACCCATCAGATGGCTCAGAACTGAGACTTGCAAGTTTAATAGCTTTGCTGCTGGGGAATAGCACAGCCCTCCTCGGGATTTCTCATTGTCTTTTTCAGTGATTTTAATACTCAGAAAAATGTGCTGAGCAGTCAGCACTCAAGGCAGAATGACTTTATCTGAGTAGAGTTCAGAGACGCCCCATGGTGTGTGGCTCCGGCTCCGCCAAACCACTCCGCCACAGGAGGTGAGCACCTGCTCGGGTGGGCGAGGCCTGGCATGAGGGATTTCCACAGACTGCTGGGACCCCTGCCCCCGACAGGGGCGATCACCTCTCACCACCACCTAGCCCAGTGGTAGGGGCCAAGATGCCAGTCTCCACGGAGTGAGGCACGGCTCTGTTAAATCCCACCAGCCAAAGACCCCTGAGCACATACTCATAGGTGGAAAGAGTGTATTAGCATGCCGCAGCAACAGAAAAATGTACCAGGAGAACCCGGGACATCTCAGGAAAAGGGAGTTGGGAGGGGCTTGTTATGAGGTTTAGGCCTGTGTTAGGTTGTTGGGGAAAGGTTTAAGAAAGGCTTGTTCTGCATTTGATGCTGTCAGGAAGTAGGGGCAGTTTGATGATTGGGGATCTTAATAATCTTTACACAAGAGGTAGAAGGAATGAAGCAGGCATAGAGCTGCTGTTAGTAAAGAAGCAGCAGTCATCACTCGAATCAGCTGGAAGAGGGGATGTTGAGTTTTTGTGGTTGCAGAGCGTCCTTGCCTCTCTGTCCAGATAGAATCACCGCGTGCCCTTGTCTCCATCTCCTTCCACCATGATCACAGAGTGAGCTGGTCTGATTATTGCTGATATTCTGTAAACGCTCGTGCATAGGTGAGAATACTCTGGTCTAGCTGTCAGCTGCCAACGGTCAGGGCCATGGTTTTCCTTCCTTACAGCAAGCAGGCATCCTCAGCCTCCTCCTCCACAGTAGTGGGAGGACCACGGAGTCAGAACGGAGGTGCAAGCGACCTCTCTTCTCACGTGTCCTGTGCAGCCCCTGTGAGGCTGGGGGCTGAGAGGTAATTGTTTGGGCTGTGCTGTGACTTTAGGAGCAGGGCCCACTCTGTGCCTCTCACGTGCTGAGCAGAGTGTGTCCCTGGAATCCACACTCCTACCTGTCTCACCCATCTCTCCCCCAGAGTCTATCTTGGCAGTCCTGCATCTATGCAATCAACTGAGTTAGAACATAGCAAGTCCAGCTGACTCCTTCCCACAAGAGAGGCCCTGGCCCTGTTACTAACCCCTAAGAGTCCATTTCCTTATCTACACATTAAGGGAGAATAATCCCTGTTTCATAGGATTGCTGTGGGGATGCTGGCTGGAGATAATGCATGTAAACTAGAAAGTATGCGTCGGGAAGGGAGGAACCTGTCCTCTCTGGCTCCTGCTGTTTCTCTATCACCCAGGATGGCGGCCAGCACATAGATGCATGATAAATATTGGTTAAATCAACAAATGGAAGTGCCCCACAAAGTAATCAGTTAATAAGAGGCAGCTATGTTGGTTTCCCAGGGCTACCATAACAAAGGATTACAAACTGGGTGGCTTAAAACAACAGAAAGCTATTCTCTCACAGGCCTGGAGACTAGAGGCTGGAAACCAAGATGTTAGCAGGGGCAGCTCCTTGTGAGGACTGTGGGAGAGAATCGGTCCCAGGCTGCTCTCCCAGCTCTGGTGATGGCGGGCAATCCTTGGCCTTCCTTGGCCCGTAGATGCATCACCCCCATCTCTACCTTCATTCTTCCATATGTCTGTGTCCAAATTTTCCTCTTTTCATAAGGATGCCAGTTACATTAGATGAGAGCCTACCCTAATGACCTCAACTTGATGACATCTGTAAAGATCTTATTTCCAAAAAAAAGGTCACCTTCACAGGTACTGGGGGTCAGGACTGCAACTTATCTTTTGGATGGTACACAATTGAATCCATAACACTGGCTATTGTTCTTTTCACATTATAGTCCTGATTCCCAACATTTTGTCCTGTTTTGTCAACTGTCATTTAAAAATGTTGCAGAAATATCAGTATTTCTGCACCTAACCCATTTCATCCTCTCTTCCTTTTGTACTTGAAATTAAATTCCACATCCTGGCTGGGCGTGGTGGCTCACGCCCGTAATCCCAGCACTTTGGGAGGCCAAGGCGGGTGGATCACAAGGTCAAGAGATCAAGACCATCCTGGCCTACGTGGTGAAAACCCGCCTCTACTAAAAATACAAAAATTAGCTGGGTGTGGTGGTGCGCACCTATAGTCCCAGCTACTCGGGAGGCTGAGGCAGGAAAATTGCTTGAAACCGGGAGGCAGAGGTTGCAGTGAGCCAAGATAGCGCCACTGCACTCCAGCCTGGCAACAAAGCGAGACTCCATCTCAAAAAAAAAAAAAAAAAAAAATCCACCACATCCTATCAAACTACTTGGGCTATTGGGGTCCAGAAAGGAAAGCTGTACAGAGAGTCCAAGAGAATGCTGTTCATATAGTAGAAACACAGTAAATGCCACTAAGCTGCTGTGTGACCTTGGACAAGTTACTCCACCTCTCTCAGCCTCAGTTTTCTTAACTGTTAGATAAAGGCATTGGATCTCACTGACATCTCCCTGCACACACACAGGGAATAGGCAAGATTCCCTTTTAGAATTCTGGTAGGTAGATGAGATGGATCGTTTCCCTGGACATGCAGAAACCTGGTGCCACTGACTCCTACCTCTCTCTTCACTTCTGTGTACCCTGAGATGAAGCCCTCTCCCTCTGAGGCTCCTCATCTGTAAAATCAGAGGGTGGAATGTTCTGATCTCCCAAGCCCGCAGCCATAGAGGAGGCTGTCACTGCTCCCCATCATCTCTGAGCAGTGGATGAAGCCTATAGAAGAGAGGCAGCCTCCGATGAGCTCATTGTCCCCATTCTTTGGTTGGCTGGCTGGAAATGGGAATGTTCAGTACATTTTGGGCACCTCCTTCATTCCTGAGGCTCAGGTGGTAGCCTATGCCCCAACATTAATGAAGCAGCAGTTATATTACCCCCAGCCCAGCACCTGCCAGAATATAGCCCAGGTGTTGCCAAATAGCAGGGTAGGGAGAAACTGTCCGGACAGGGGGGTTGCCGAGAGACAGCAAAGCCAACGCCTCACCCAAGTTCACAAAAGCCCAGATTAAACCAATGAACAGCTGGAATTTCTAACTTGGACAGCCCCAGGATTGTGCCTGCCTATACCTGGTACTGAATACGTGAGCCTTCTTGCTCCTTCTTGGACACACCCTGTCATGGTTCCAGATACCCACTGCTGTGATTTTGAGCTTCTTTGTTACACTGAAAATCCTAAGAGCAGAGGTATAGTCTGATTATTTCTGAACCTAAAACCTAGCACAATGCCAGGCACAAAGAAAGAAGAGAAGGAAGTCAGGAAGGCAATAAGGAAAGTAGGAAGGATGGAAGAGGAAGGAAGAAAGGGAGGGAGGGAAAGAGGGAGACTGCAACAGAATATCACAGTGGCTAATGGTGCAAGCCGTAAAGTGCAAAAGAACTGAGTTCAAACTCTGGTTTTGCCATTGACTGGCTTTGTGACCCAAGGCAAATCGCTTAACCTCTCTGAATTCCAACGTCCTGTACTATTCACTCCACCGGGTTGTTGTGGGAATTAAATAATTCACTTAGAACACTTAGCATAGTGCTTGCCCATGGTAAGCATTCGGCAAACTGTGGTAGTAATCTGCGTCATCATTTATAGTACTTAAAACAATAATAACCGCATGGACTACACAGCCCTCTGACATCACCTGCCCAGCCAACTTTTCCGTACTTTGGGGGCGGGCGGTGGGGTGGTGGGGGAGGCGGCGGGGGCGGGGGTAGGAATGAGCATTTGCACAACGTTACACAGGGATGGTCCCGCTGACTCAGGAGCATTCCACTTTGTGGCAGCGATCTCAGAGTGGCCTGCAGGCCAAATCAGATTTGCCAGAGCCCCTTTGAGATAGGGGTGTCCCGGGCTACCGCCTCTGACCTGGTTCTCTTGGCAGGTGGCGCCACCTGCTGGCTGCTCTAGGAACTGTCTTACATACCTAGTCACTCAGCGGCAAAATGTTCTTTGTGTCAAGCCCTGGACTCCTATAATCACCTCCTGACTGCCAAAGCCACCTTGATCCTGGGAAGCCAGTCACGCAATTCATACTGCCCTGCAGTCGTCCGCTTCACGTCAGAATTTCCAGGACAACTCCCAATTTCCTGAGGATTATAAATCAACCATAAAATTTCATTTTCCCCTGAGACTTTGCATATATCGACCAGCTAGTCTGTTTCTATTCTCTTCTGCTTTTTTTTTTTGCGGGGGCGGGGGCGGCGGGGAATGGAGTCTCACTCTGTCACCCAGGCTGGAGTGCAGTGGCTCAATCTCGGCTCACTGCAACCTCCGCCGCCCGGGTTCAAGCGATTCTCCTGCCTCAGAAGTAGCTGGGATTACAGGCGCCTACCACCGCGTCCAGCTAATTTTTTTTTTTTTTTTTTTTTTTTTTTTTGTATTTTTAGTAGAGATGGAGTTTCGCCTTCTTGGTCAGTCTGGTCTCGAACTCCTGACCTCGTGATCCACCCGCCTCGGCCTCCCGAAGTGCTGGGATTACAGGCGTGAGCCACTATGCCCGGCCTTCTCTTCTACTTCTATTCGTGACAGAAGAAACCTCGTTTCTTTCCTTTTTCAGGTGCATTCTGGGTTGCTGTGGAGCTTAGGTCAGACCTTGAGTTTAGAGTCAAAGGTCCTGAGTTCCAGTCTCAGCCCACCAAATACTTTTGCCCAGGTCCCTAATCTCTCCCACCTCCAGCTGCTTTATCTGGAAAAGGAGAGTTATCATTCCACCTGCCATCATGGTCCTGATCCTTTTGTGGGTTTGTTTGTTTTTTGTTTTTGTTTTGATTGTTGTTGTTATTGTTTTTGAGACAGAGTCTCACTCTGTCACCCAGGCTGGAGTGCCTTGGCACAATCTCGGCTCAGTTCAACCTCTGCCTCCTGGATTCAAGCAATTCTCATGCCTCAGCCTCTCAAGTAGCAGGGATTACAGGTGCACAACACCACTCCCCGCTAATTTTTGTATTTTAGTAGAGACAGTGTTTCGCCATGTTGGCCAGGCTGGTCTCAAACTCCTAACCTCAGGTGATCCGCTAGGCTCAGCCTCCCAAAGTGCTGGATTACAGGCGTGAGCCACCATGCCTGGCCTGGTTCTGATCCCTTTGAAATTTAAAGGAGAATGAAATCAGTGGGAAAAGGCTTTGTTAGTGTCACAGATAAGGCTACAACTCCTTAGCCTGTGGGTGTAACTACTGTCACGTGTAAATACAGAATCCTGGGTGACGGTGGCATGCATTGGCCCTGCCTTCTTCCTCACCAGCAGTCTCTCAGTATGACATTGTCATGGTAGCTACTATAAGGCTGGCACAGGTTTCGGTTTTATTATGGTCATTCATGAGATTTTTAATGAGGGCTTACTATGCACCAAGCACTATGGGAGTTCAAATATTAGAGCCAAAATTCTTGGACTCTGGGACCTGGAGGTCTAGAAGGGATGAAGTGTAAACAAATCCACACACTGGTCCATCCCTGTTACATGCCAAGCACTGTGCTGGGCACGTGATGGATGTCAACCGTAGGTCAAACAGGAAGGACTCACGAAGTACAGTTACAAATGCAGCTTTGGTTTGATAGGGCCCTCTCCCAAGATCCCTTTCAACTTGCTCAGTGGGTGGTAGACATTCTTCCCAGCCCCTGGGCGAAAACATGGAGGGTCCCATGATTTTTCTGATCACTTGCAGGAAACTAAAAACATCACACTCGTTTTAAGCCACAAAACAGTATCAACTCAGGAAATAGAATGTCCAGTTGATATATTATTCAACATATCAACCCTCACTTTCTCCCCTGCCCAGGTAGGGCCAAGCACCTAGCAAGGATGCTGAAGTCAGTTCCGTCTCTCTTTCCTGCTATTCTCCTCACTCCCACTTCCCTGTGGCTGTTTCTAGCCCAGTTGAAATCTAAGCAGGACAAAGGGATGGGAAAGGGAAAGGGAAAGGGAAGGGAAGGGAAGGGAAGAAGGGAAGGGAAGGGAAATAAAGAAGGGAAGGGAAATAAAGAAGGGAAAGGAAGGGAAGGGAAGGGAAATAAAGAAGGGAAGGGAAGGCAAGGGAAATAAGAGAAAGGAGGGCAAGGGAAGGCTAGGGAAGGCAAGGGAAGGGAGGGGAGGGGGAGGGGGAGGGGATGGGGGAGGGGAAGGCAGGGCAGGGCAGGGCAGGGAAAGGAAGGGAAGGGAAGGGAAGGGAAGGGAAGGGAAAAAGCTCTTCCTTGTCAGATATTGTTTTAAGTTAGTGTCACAGCATCTGGGTCCGGCTAACATTAAAGTCAGATTCTTTCTCTTGGGGACACTTTTCTGGATTCCTCTTAGACTCCCCTCTTGGAGCATCTGCAGGCACAAGCCCCTTCTTCAGTTGACCGCCTGTGACCCCTCCCCCAAGTTTCTGCCTCTGCAGTATGGCCCACTGGCATCCCCTCACCCTCGCAGGCTGCCCTCCCAAATGCCCCCTGCTGACGTGCCTGTCAAGGGCTCCACACCTCCCAAAGATGGAAGCACCTGTCAGGCATTGTAAGAGGAGTGCAGTGACTTTGCAGTCATCTCAGCTCAGACAACTGAGCATCCCTTTATACATACATCTCTTTTAATCATCTTGAAATCCAGGAAAGAAAGCTCCCTTATCCCTTTTCTACAAATAGACTTTTAGAGAATTACACAATCACTAAGTGACAAAGATGAGGTTTGAGCCCTGTCTCTCCAAGTCAAATCCCACGATATTCCCATGAGTCCTTGCTGTTGGATTCCAAAAAGCAAAGGGTCCACTCTGGGGCCTGGGACAAGCCATCAAACTTCCATCTTGATTCTTCATCTTTCATGATTTCCAAGAGCTCTTCACATTCTAAAACTCTATAATAAAATTTCTGAGTTGAGGAAGCCTAGAAGCACATGGCAGAGAATTCTGCAGAGGCCTCCCTCTTCTGCGTGGGAGGAAGTCCCCACAGCTCAGCTCTTCCTAAGAGCTCTCTGCCCTGACACCCTACGTGATATGGGCATGTGCCTCCAGCAAGTACAGGGCAGAGAGAGAGAAACATCATTTAAGTGGTGCTGGCATTAAGTGGTGATGACATAGCTTCATGTCCAGTACTGAGTGGGAGATGGAAAGCATGCATTTGCTTCCTTTCCAGACAGGCTGGCTCATTTCCCCTGTGCCTCTCATGATGAGAGGATTATGCATGCTGAGTATGATGCTGGTGATTCAAGTGAGGAAGTTTCCAGATACCATGCATGACTCCTGGTTTAAGCCAATTATCTCATCATGGTTCAACCAAAGAAACAACAATTTATTCAAATGCTGGAGAAAACTCCCAGCCATGCTGGTTTTATTGATTCTGGGTCTCCAAGATGGTGCCCTTCTAAAGAATTTCCAAGGATCATTTTGTGCAATTGCAATGTTCTCCTTAGACCTTCGTCACCATTGGTGGGACTTCAGTGCTTAGCAGCTCAAGGAACCCAGCATGTTCTCCGTAGCTGTATCCTCTAGATCCTCACAGCCTCCCTTTAGAATAAGCAGAACAGGTGTCATTACCTCCTTTTTACAGGTAAAGAAACTGAAGCTCAGCAGTGATAAATACGATGTCTGGTGAAAAGCAGAGCCAGGACTTGAACCTTGGTTTCCCAATCCAAGCCTAACACTTTGAGTCCTATACCTTCTTTTTGCTGATGTTCACACAAGATCAAGTGAGCATTTCCCTGCCCTTCCTAATCCTCTACTTACCAGAATCCCACCTCCCTGCTCCTCAGCCAGCTTGGGGTTGGAGAATGGGGTGGCATTTCAGGCAGTGTAAGGTTGAGGATTCTTTCATGATTCTTCCAGTAGGACATCAGACACATCCATCCTGGCAACAACACACTAAACTGTCCATTACGTCCCACTGGAATCAATTGAGGTTATGTTTCTGACAACAGAGAATAGTTTGTTCCCTTCGTTACATTAGCCTGGGCCAAGGGGTAAAGCATATCTATCCCTTTATTGCCCGTAAGTGTCCCTTAGTTCCAGTGGAGATTAAGAAAACTGGAATTTATTGAGCACATACTATATGCCAGAATTTGTTCTGAGGGTTTTGCACATCTTAAATCATTTAACCTCACAAAAACCCTATGAGGCCATTCCTTGTATGATTCCTTTTTATAGATGAGGAAACTGATACACAGCACCAGTTAAATAACTTTTCCAAGATTCACAGGTTGAAGTGATAGAGACAAAACCTTTAACGTGGGTAGTTGGATTCCAGAGTCTGTATGCCCGGGTCCACTCTCGACAGACTAAAGCTCAAAACAGTTTGACCTTGAGGTTTTCCAGGAGGAAAAGCATGAGGCTGAGGAGAACACTTATGTTAGATTGGATTCCTGAGACGCAAAGCCCAAGCCTAGGGTTCTCTTGTGGGCCACGTAGTATGGAAGTGCTCCTGGAGAAACCCGCAAGAGGCAGGGAGGCAGGACACAGAGGGAAGACCAAGCAAGGGAGCCACCTCAGGGCTGCCCCACCCCCAAGCCAGGGCGCTGGGCTTTCATGCCCCCAGCTGTCAGACAGAGCCAGTAAGTCAAGCTCTGGGGCCCTAGGGCACTGCTCCACAAATGAGCCACAGGGCCCAGCTGTGGGGAGTGAATGCACATGGAACGTGGGGACACAAAAAAATAGTTCCAAAAAAAAAAAGAGGATGGGTCAGAGCAGTGACAGTACCTGCTGCAGCAGCCACGCCTGGGATAGGAAAGGAGCACCTGTGATCTGCCGTAAGCCTCAACAGGTCCCACGCGAATTTCTGAGGAACTTAGATTCCTCTGATGTTGGCAAGTGCCCAGGAAATATCTTGTCAGAGGAAAGTCGGGGATAACTGTCTGTGCAGGGCCACCTTCGGGTAAACACGCAGGGCCTGTTGGAGAGCCACCTGGGTGACTGGGACTGCGTCCACATGACCTCTGCAGTCACCCCGCCCACTGTTCCCTAAGGCCACACTTCCATACCGCCTGCCCTCGCTCTGACCTGCCTTCTCCATCAAACTTGTCCCAGCCAGTCTCTCCCTGTGTCTGTCAGGGTCCCAAGATGTATCAGCCACTGTGCTAGTTTTCTTTTCCAAGTTGATTTTATTTATGCGATCGATCTCATTCTGTTCTTAATTATGAAATATTTTTAACACATAAAAAGCCACCTAATACTCAGCATTGTCAACTCAGTGTTATTTGTTAAAAAACCTTTTTTTAAAACCTGAAATCAAAGATTTTAGATATAATTGAAACTCCCCTTGTACTCTGTCCTGATTGAATTCCACCCCCACCCCCCCAGAGGTCACTGCTGCCCTAAATTTGGTGCTTACCACTCCCATGAAAGTTTTACTACATATGTATAAAACCTTTCCTAGGACTATTTTGCATTATTTTAAACTTTATGTTAAATTGTGTTATACTGTGTATTAGTCAGGGTTCTCCAGGGAAACATAACCATAGAATGTGTACAGAGAGAGATTTATTTTAGGGAATTGGCTCACACAGTTATGGAGGCTAGAAGTCCAAGATCAAAGTGTCAGCAGGTTGGGAGGCCCAGTGAAGAGGTGACACTGCAGTTCAAGGCTGAAGGCTGTCTGCTGGTGGAATCCTATTTTCTCAGGGGACCTCAGTCTTTGCTCTGTTAAATCCCGCAACTGATTGGATGAGAATACCCACATTATGGCACGCAGGCAACCTGCTTTACTCAAAGTCCACCAATGTCAATGTTAGTCTCATCCAAAAACACCTTCACGGAAACATCTAGATTGTTTGACCATCACATATTATTTCCATCTGCAACTTACTTTCTTCACTTATTGTGTTTTTGAGATTTATCTGTGTTGACAAATCTATCATTTCATTGTATATGAGGGGACTTCAAAATGTTCCTGGAAAAAAAATGGAATTAAGAGATAAAAATACAAAATGTAAACTTTTTTTTTTTTTATTATACTTTAAGTTTTAGGGTACATGTGCACAATGTGCAGGTTAGTTACATATGTATACATGTGCCATGTTGGTGTGCTGCACCCATTAACTCGTCATTTAGCATTAGGTATATCTCCTAATGCTATCCCTCCCCACTACCCCCACCCCACAACAGTCCCCGGTGCGTGATGTTCCCCTTCCTGTGTCCATGTGTTCTCATTGTTCAATTCCCACCTATGAGTGAGAACATGCGGTGTTTGGTTTTTTGTCCTTGTGATAGTTTGCTGAGAATGATGGTTTCCAGTTTCATCCATGTCCCTACAAAGGACATGAACTCATCCTTTTTTATGGCTGCATAGTATTCCATAGTGTATATGTGCCACATTTTCTTAATCCAGTCTATCATTGTTGGACATTTGGGTTGGTTCCAAGTCTTTGCTATTGTGAATAGTGCCGTAATAAACATACGTGTGCATGTGTCTTTATAGCAGCATGATTTATAATCCTTTGGGTATATACCCAGTAACGGGATGGCTGGGTCAAATGGTATTTCTAGTTCTAGATCCCTGAGGAATCGCCACACTGACTTCCACAACGGTTGAACTAGTTTACAGTCCCACCAACAGTGTAAAAGTGTTCCTATTTCTCCACATCCTCTCCAGCACCTGTTGTTTCCTGACTTTTTAATGATCGCCATTCTAACTGGTGTGAGATGGTATCTCATTGTGGTTTTGATTTGCATTTCTCTGATTTTCTTCTGCAATGCCGCTTGACCCCAATACATACTCGACAGTAGTTCCAAATAGCCAGAAAACGGCACTTTCAATTTTTCCACCCTACAAGATCTAAATAATTCTTGTCATAAAATGGGCAAATGGTCTGAGGTGCCTGACGTCCAGGCATTCTTTTACGCATCGGTCCCTCTCTAGTCTCTGTTCCCAATGCAACTCATCCCAAATCTTCCTTCTTTCCCTCCCGCCTGTCCCCTCAGTCCCAACCCCAAGCGTCGCTGAGTCTTTCTAATCTTCCTTTTCTACAGACCCATCTGACCTCTCCCCTCCTCACCAGGCCGAGCTAGGTCCCAATTCTTCCTCAGCCTCCGCTCCTCCACCCTGGTCCGCTCCTTTTATCACCTCCCCTCCTCACACCTGGTCCGGCTTATGGTTTCATTCCGTGACTAGCCCTCCCCCACCTGCCCAGCAATTTACTCTTAAAAAGGTGGCTGGAGCTGAAGGCATAGTCAAGGTTAATGCTCCTTTTTCTTTACCCCAAATCAGATAGCGTTTAGGCTCTTTTTCATCAAATATAAAAAACCCAGCCCAGTTCATGGTTCGTTCGGCAGCAACCCTGAGACGCTTTACAGCCCTAGACCCTAAAAGGTCAAAAGGCCGTCTTATTCTCAATATACATTTTATTACCCAATCTGCTCCTGACATTAAATAAAACTCCAAAAATTAAATTCCGGCCCTCAAACCCCACAACAGGATTTAATTAACCTCGCCTTCCAGGTGTACAATAATAGAAAAAAGTTGCAATTCCTTGCCTCCACTCTGAGACAAATCCCAGCCACATCTCCAGCACACAAGAACTTCCAAACACCTGAACCGCAGCAGCCAGGCGTTCCTCCAGAACCTCCTCCCCCAGGAGCTTGCTTCAAGTGCCAGAAATCTGACCACCAGGCCAAGGAATGCCCGCAGCCCAGGATTCCTCCTAAGCCGTGTCCCATCTGTGCGGGACCCCACTGGAAATCGGACTGTTCAACTCACCTGGCAGCCACTCCCAGAGCCCCTGGAACTCTGGCCCGAGGCTCTCTGACTGACTCCTTCTTGGCTTAGCGGCTGAAGACTGATGCTGCCCGATCGCCTCAGAAGCCCCGCAGACCATCACGGACGCCGAGCTTTAGGTAACTCTCACAGCGGAGGGTAAGTCCATCCCCTTCTTATCAATACGAGGCTACCCACTCCACATTACCTTCTTTTCAAGGGTCTATTTCCCTTGCCTCCATAACTGTTGTGGGTATTGACAGCCAGGCTTCTAAACCTCTTAAAACTCCCCAACTCTGGTGCCAACTTAGACAATACCCTTTTAAGCACTCCTTTTTAGTTATCCCCACCTGCCCCGTTCCCTTATTAGGCCGAGACACTTTAAATTATCTGCTTCCCTGACTATTCCTGGATTACAGCCGCATCTCATTGCCGCCCTTCTCCCCAACCCAAAGCCTCCTTTGCGTCTTCCTCTCATATCCCCCCACCTTAACCCACAAGTATGGAACATCTCTACTCCTTCCCTGGCAACCGATCACATGCCCATCACCATCCCATTAAAACCTAATCACCCTTACCCCTCTCAACGCCAATGTCCCATCCCACAGCACGCTTTAAAGGGATTAAAGCCTGTTATCACTCGCCTGCTACAGCATGGGCTTCTAAAACCTATAAACTCTCCTTACAATTCCCCCATTTTACCTGTCCAAAAACCGCACAAGTCTTACAGATTAGTTCAGGATCTGCGCCTTATCAACCAAATTGTTTTGCCTATCCGCCCTGTGGTGCCCAACCGGTACACCCTTTCGTCCTCAATACCTTCCTCCACAACTCACTATTCCGTTCTTGATCTTAAAGATGCTTTTTTCACTATTCCCCTGCACCCCTCGTCCCAGCCTCTCTCTGCTTTCACCTGGACTGACGCTGACACCCATCAGTCCCAGCAGCTTACCTGGGCTGTGCTGCCACAAGGTTTCAGGGACAGCTCTCATTACTTCAGCCAAGCTCTTTCTCATGATTTACTTTCTTTCCACCCCTCTGCTTCTCACCTTATTCAATATATTGATGATCTTCTTCTTTGTAGCCCCTCCTTTGAATCTTCTCAACAAGACACACCTCTGCTCCTTCAGCATTTATTCTCCAAAGGATATCGAGTATCCCCCTCCAAAGCTCAAATTTCTTCTCCATCGGTTACCTACCTCGGCATAATTCTTCATAAAAACACACGTGCTCTCCCTGCCGATCGTGTCCGACTAATCTCTCAAACCCCAGCACCTTCTACAAAACAACAACTCCTTTCCTTCCTAGGCATGGTTAGCGCGGTCAGAATTCTTACACAAGAGCCAGGACCACATCCTGCAGCCTTTCTGTCCAAACAACTTGACCTTACTGTTTTAGCCTAGCCCTCATGTCCGCGTGCAGCGGCTGCCGCTGCTTTAATACTTTTAGAGGCCCTCAAAATCACAAACTATGCTCAACTCACTCTCTACATTTCTCATAACTTCCAAAATCGATTTTCTTCCTCATACCTGACACATATACTTTCTGCTCCCCGGCACCTTCAGCTGTACTCACTCTTTGTTAAGTCCCACAATTACTATTGTTCCTGGCCAGGACTTCAATCTGGCCTCCCACATTATTCCTGATACCACACCTGACCCCCATGACTGTATCTCTCTGATCCACCTGACATTCATCCCATTTCCCCATATTTGCTTCTTTCCTGTTCCTCACCCTGATCACACTTAGTTTTTTGATGGCAGTTCCACCAGGCCTAATCGCCACACACCAGCAAAGGCAGGCTATGCTATAGTACAAGCCACTAGCCTGCCTCTTAAGAACCTCTCATTTCCTTTCCATTGTGGAAATCTATCCTCAAGGAAATAACTTCTCAGTGTTCCATCTGCTGTTCTACTACTCATCAGGGATTATTCAGGCCCCCTCCCTTTCCTACACATCAAGCTCGAGGATTTGCCCCCACCCAGGACTGGCAAATTAGCTTTACTCAAAGCCCCGAGTCAGATAACTAAACTACCTCTTAGTCTAGGTAGACACTTTCACTGGATAGGTAGAGTCCTTTCCTACAGGGTCTGAGAAGGCCACCGCAGTCATTTCTTCCCTTCTGTCAGACATAATTCCTCAGTTTAGCCTTCCCACCTCTATACATTCTGATAACAGACCAGCCTTTATTAGTCAAATCAGCCAAGCATTTTTTCAGGCTCTTAGTATTCAGTGACAGACTAGCGGTCTATTAAAAACACACCTCACCAAGCTCAGCCAGCAACTTAAAAAGGACTGAACAATACTTTTACCACTTTCGCTTCTCAGAATTCAGGCCTGTCCTCGGAATGCTACAAGGTACAGCCCATTTAAGCTCCCGTATAGACGCTCCTTTTTATTAGGCCCCAGTCTCTTTCCAGACACCAGACCAACTTAGACTGTGCCCCAAAAAACTTGTCATCCCTATCTTCTGTCTAATCATACTCCTATTCACCGTTCTCAACTACTCATACATGCCCTGCTCTTGTTTACACTGCCAGTTTACACTGTTTCTCCAAGCCATCACAGCTGATATCTCTTGGTGCTATTCCCAAACCGCCACTCTAAACTCTTGAAGTAAATAAATAATTTTTGCTGGCAGGACTATGCTGAATCTCCTTAGGCACTCACTAATCAGATGTCCTAGGTCCTGCCAATTCTTAGACCTTTTATACCTGTTTTTCTCCTTCTCTTATTCCATTTAGTTTTTCAATTCATACAAAACCGTATCCAGGCCATCACCAATAATTCTACACGACAAATGTTTCTTCTAACATCCCCACAATATCACCCCTTACCACAAAAATCTTCCTTCAGCTTAATCTCTCCCACTCTAGGTTCCCACGCAGCCCCTAATCCCGCTCGAAGCAGCCCTGAGAAACATCGCCCATTCTCTCTCTCCATACCACCCCCCAAAAATTTTCGCCGCCCCAACACTTCAACACCATTTTATTTTTCTTATTAATATAAGAAGGCAGGAATGTCAGGCCTCTGAGCCCAAGCCAAGCCATCGCAACCCCTGTGACTTGCATGTATATGCCCAGATGGCCTGAAGTAACTGAAGAATCACAAAAGAAGTGAATATGCCCTGCCCCACCTTAACTGATGATATTCCACCACAAAACAAGTGTAAATGGCCGGTCCTTGCCTTAAGTGATGACATTACCTTGTGAAAGTCCTTTTCCTGGCTCATCCTGGCTCAAAAAGCTACCCCACTGAGCACCTTGTGACCCCCACTCCTGCCCACCAGAGAACAAACCCCCTTTGACTGTAATTTTCCTTTACCTGCCCAAATCTTATAAAACGGCCCCACCCCTATCTCCCTTCGCTGACTCTTTTCGGACTCAGCCCACCTGCACCCAGGTGAAATAAACAGCTCCATCAAGTTCAAGACACTTTTGTAAGCAATGATAGCAGCCATTTAGTTCATCCCTAAAGAACTGAGGGCCTTGGGAATTTAGCAATGTTAGTGCAGTCTTTTCACATTATTAACTGAAGAAAAATGAGTGCCCTTTAAAGATTTTTTAAGATTAGGAAACAAAAAGAAGCCAGAAGGAGCCAAATCAGGACTGTAAGGTGGACGCCTAATGATTTTCTACTGAAACTCTTGCAAAATTGCCATTATTCAATAAGAGGAATGGGCAGAAGCATTTGTCATGATGGAGGACTCTCTAGTGAAGCTTTCTCAGGTGTTTTTCTGCTAATGCTTTAGCTAACTCTCAAAACACTCTTATAATAAGCAGATGTTGTCATTTTTTGCCCTCCAGAAAGTCAACAAGCAAAATGCCCTGAGCATCACAAACTGTTGCCATGACCTTTGCTCTTGACCTGTCTCTCTTTGCTATGACCGGACCCCTTCCATCATTTGCTAGCCATTTCTTTGATTGTGCTTTGTCTTCAGGATTGTACTGGTAAAGCTATGTTTCATCTCTTGTTACAATTCCTTGAAGAAATGCTTCAGAATCTTGGTCTCACATGTTTAAAATTTCCATTGAAAACTCTGCTCTTGTCTGCGGCTGAGCTGGGCAAAACAGTGTTGGCACCCATTAAGTGGAAAGTTCGCTTAACTTTAATTTTTCGGTCAGAATTGTGTAAGCTGAACCAATGGATATGTTTATGGTGTCAGCTATTCTTTCTGCGATCAATAATTGGTCCTCTTCAATTAGGGCATGTACAAGATGAATTTTTCCCTTGCAAATTGTCTGCTGCTATGGCCTTCGTCTTCAACATCATTTTATTCTTTCTTAAATGAATTATCCATTTGTAAACTGCTGATTTCTTTAGGGCATTGTCCCCATAAACTTTTCATAAAGCTCCCATGATTTCATTATTTTTCTACTCAAGCTTCACCACAAATTTGATGTTTTCTCTTGCTTTAATTTTTTCTGAATTCATGTTGCTATGATAGGGGCTCTTTCCAAACTGATGTCTTATACTTCTTAGTGCCTCTTATATCTGATTCTGAACTATTCTGTTCAGATATAAGAACTTAGTATGAGTTTATTTTGGTGCAAAAAAATTTGAAATTTAGGCTGGGCACGATGGCTTATGTCTGTAATCTCAGCACTTTTGGAGGCCGAGGCAGGTGGATCACTTGAGGCCATTGCTACTAAAAATACAAAAAATTAGCTGAGTGCAGTGTCGTGTGCCTGTAGTCCCAGCTACTGGGTAGACTGAGGCACAAGAATACCTTGAACCCAGGAGGTGGAGCTTGCAGTGAGCCAAGTTCTCTTTGCTGCACTCCAGCCAGGGTGACAGAGAGAGACTCTGTCTCAAAAAAAAAAAAAAAAAAAAATCTATGTATTGTTTTTTCATAATACACATTTTTTTCCATGAATTTATTGAAGGTTCCTTGTCTATATGATAGGTTATGACTTTTTCTGTTGATAGGCATAGGTTGCTTCCAATTTTTCTATCACAAACAAGAGAGAGCATAAGCTCTCTCTAGTGAGGAACTGCCATGGCATAATACATAACAAGTGCTTAAAAAGCATTTGGGTTTGACTTGTTTGGCTTACTATGCACCTGGTACTGTCAAGACAAAGCAGCTCAATTTTATTTTTTATTATTATACTTTAAGTTCTAGGGTACCTGTGCACAACGTGCAGGTTTGTTACATATGTACACATGTGCCATGTTGGTGTGCTGCACCCATTAACTTGTCATTTACATTAGGTATATCTCCTAATGCTATCCCTCCCCGCTTCCCCCACCCCACTACAGGCCCTGGTGTGTGATGTTCCCCATCCTGTGTCCAAGTGTCCTCATTGTTCAGTTACCACCTATGAGTGAGAACATGTGGTGTTTGGTTTTCTGTCCTTGCAATAGTTTGCTGAGAATGATGGTTTCCAGTTTCATCCATGTCCCTACAAAGGACATGAACTCATCCTTTTTTATGGCTGCATAGTATTCCATAGTGTATATGTGCCACATTTTCTTAATCCAGTCTATCATTGTTGGACATTTGGGTTGGTTCCAAGTCTTTGCTATTGTGAATAGTGCCACAATAAACATACGTGTGCATGTGTCTTTATAGCAGCATGATTTATAATCCTTTGGGTATATATCCAGTAATGGGATGGCTGGGTCAAATGGTATTTCTAGTTCTAGATCCTTGAGGAATTGCCACACTGTCTTCCACAATGGTTGAACTAGGCAAAGCAGCTCAATTTTATAAGAAAAGGAACTGAGGGCTGGGCACAGTGGTTCACACCTGTAATCCCAGCACTTTGGGAGGCCAAGGAGGCAGATCACCTGAGGTTGGAAGTTCGAGACCAGCCTGACCGACATGGAGAAACCCTGTCTCTACTAAAAATACAAAATTAGCCGGGCATGGTGGCACATACCTGTAATCCCAGCTACCCAGGAGGCTGAGGCAGGAGAATTGCTTGAACCCAGGAGGTGGAGGTTGCGGCGAGCCGAGATCACGCCATTGCACTCCAGCCTGGGCAACAAGAGCGAAACTCAGTCTCAAAAAACAAAACAAACAAACAAAAACCAAAAAAATGAAAACAAACGAAAGGAAGGAAAGAAGGAAGGAAGGAAGGAGAAGAAAGAAAAAAGAAAGAAGAAAGAGAAAAAGAAAGAAGAGAGAGAGAAAGGAAGAAAGAAAGAAAGAAAGAAAAAGAAAGAAAAAGGAACTGAGCTATTTAACATTAGAACCATGATTCAAACATGGGGGTAATGGAAGATGGCTGAGCATGGGTTTTACAGGCCTGCCCTGGAGAGGGAGCACCGTGAAAAATAATCAAATAGCTGGCATTATTCTGCAGGCCTGAGAATGCTCAGTGGGGAAGCAAAACAATGATTTGGCTACCCGCCCATAGCTTCTGACAGCCAGGGGCACCTACATCGTAATTCTTAGCAGAAAGGACCTATATTTCACAGAAGCATCAGCAGAGTAGCATAGTAATTAAACTGATTTTTTGTCTTCCGTTTTGACCTTAGAAAATAAAACATCTGAGATTATAAGAGAGAAAGTGTGAGTATGAGGAGGAAACTGTCTATAGTTGATACAAGAAATAGAGTTCTATTATTTAAAGTGATCAAAACAGCCAGTAAAGGGAAAGGGAGGTGGAGGGTGAGTAAGTTAAATATTCATTTGTCAGCTAGAAGTCAGTAAACGATGTCTGTGGCAGATAACTTGAGCAATCAAGAAATATGTGGGCAGGCTCTGGATGAAAGAAACAGTAAGGCCAGGCACGGTGGCTCATGCCTTTAATCCCAGCACTTTGGGAGGCCAAGGCAGGCGGATCACCTGAGGTTGGGAGTTCGAGACCAGCCTGGCCAACATGGTGAAACCCCATCTCTACTAAAAATACAAAATTACAAAAATTAGCTGGGTGTGGTGGCACATGCCTTTAATCCCAGCTACTCAGGAGGCTGAGGCAGGAGAATCTCTGGAACCTGGGAGGCAGAGGTTGCAGTGAGCTGAGATCACACCACTGCACTCCAGCCTGGGTGGCAGAGTGGGACTCCATCTCAGAAACAAAACAAAAAAAGAAAAAAGAAAAGGTGAAAGTGCTGACAGCAGGGTGCGGGGAGAGGAAAGTGTGGGTCAGGGAAATGTTGGTCTCTAGAAGGTCTTCAGTGCTGTTTAACTTTTTAAATCAGGTGATAATTAAATTATCACTTGAATAATTTTAAAATTAAAATAGAAGAACTACAAAATAGAGCAAGGACTACTGAAATATTTACAGATTTTCCAAGTGATATATGCATAATAGCCTCCCAGATGGGGTGGAAGCTGGTAGGTAGAGATTGTAAAATTTAGCCATGATACTTCAATTGCTGAAGTGGAGGGATGGGGGGGTCATTATTCTAGACTCTTTCTACCTTTATATATAGTTATACATAGTTGAAATTTCCCATAGTTAAAAGGATATTTTTTAAAACAAGCACAGTCTGTGAGGTCAGACAGGTGTGAGTTAAGTTCTAGCTGAGCCACTTAGCAATGTGGGCAAGTTACTTAAACTCTCTGAGACTGAGTTTCCTCATCACATAATGGAAGTAACTGCTGTTCACCCACTTAGTGTGACCACTTACTTCAGATGTAGGGATGAAATGAGATTATGCCTGTGAAGGGCTGACTGTGGCATAAGTGTAGTAAGTGCTTTAAAAAATATTTTGGTTTGGTCTGTTTTGTTGCTTCTATGCGGGGTTTTTATAAAGAAGGTTTGGCTGTAAAATGTGAATTCTGCTTCTCAGGCATCTTATATTTGTTCTGTACCTCTATTTTCTGCCTTATGTGTTTGCTGTTGTTTAGTGTTATATTTCTCTCCTCAGCTAGCTTGCTTAGTCTATTCTGTTAACAAACATTTATTGAGCACCTATGTGCCAGGCACTGAACTGGGTGCTAAGGAAGCAGAGATGAGAGACTGTCCCTGATCCAAGGTCACACAAATCAGTGATGGAGAAAGGCAGGAAAAGATCAGAATAACATGCAGCATAAAAACTGCAGAGATTGATATACCACAGTGAGTATGGGGAGTACTGAGGATACCTAGCACAGCCTGAGCCAGGGTTTGAAGGATGGATAGGAGTTCACCAGACAAAGGAAAGTAGGAGGCAGTCTGCCATGACATGCCGAGGTAGCAGCAGGAGTCAAGGTCTGGAAGCTAGAAAGGCCTGAGTCTGTTCAGAAAAGTAACTCAGTTCATGGTTGGGGAGTGAGGGAAAAATAAAACTAGACTGAAGAGCAAGGTCCAAATTGTGCCCCAGGCTACAGACTTCATAGGACAAGGGGACATGGGAAGGTTCATTCCGGAGCACAGCTTCAAATAAAACATGAGTTCAAAACATGAGTTCCAATCTGCATCTGAGTAAGTTCATTCCAGTAGAAAGGGAGAGGGTGAGAGGTTAGAAAGCAGAGACAGACAGAGAGAGAGAGAGAGAAAGCAATGTCACAGAGGGAGTATAAGTCCATTTTCCTACTGCTGTGAAGAAATACCTGAGACTGGGTAATTCATAAAGAAAAAAGGTTTAATGAACCCACAGTTCCCCACGGCTGGGGAGGCCTCACAATCATGGCAGAAGGCAAAGGAGGAGCAAAGGCACATCTTACATGGTGGCAGGCAAGAGACCATGTGCAGGGGAACTTCCCTTTATAAAGCCATCAGATTGTGTGAGACTTACTATCTTACTATCATGAGAATAGCACGGGAAAACCTACCCCCATGATTCAATGATTCAATTATCTCCCACCAGGTCCCTCCCACAACACGTGGGGATTATGGGAGCTACAATTCAAGATGAGATTTGGGTGGGGATACAACCAACCATATCAGCAGGAGATGCTGGCTGTCTAAATAGATCCCCGTCAGAATCACTGTATCTGGATGTGCCTGGGGCTCAAAATTTGATTTTGTTGGGGCATCTGGAGAAAATTAAGCCCTAAAGGGCTGTCTCACAACAAACTCATCTGACATAAACAACCAGGACTGTGTTATAAATGGTAGGGTTTAAACCCTATATATGGTAGGGGTTAAACCTCTTTAGTGACCAGCACTGATGCCTACTATCCAAAGCAAGCCCTCGTATTTCTGAGGTTGCTGGAGGTGGAAGTCTAGGTGGGCCCAGAATCAGAACTTGGGGGGACAGAGAGGCTTCCAGGGAAAGAGGAGCCTAAAACACTTTGTCCTCAGCATGACAGACTTCTAGGGGCCAAGGTGATCCTGTTTGCCCAACAATGGCAAATAAACCCCGGCCAGCAGTTCTAGCTTCTCACTGCATGCTCATCTGGCCCCTCTACAATGACGTTCCTTCCCAGCCACAGCATAGTCTGATGAAGTCAGGGTTTATTTACAGTACAGGCTCAGAAGTGTATTGTGGCTTCCAGAGTGAAATCCAACCTTAGCCCTCAGATGTCTCTCATTCTCCTTGGACACCCAGTGGCTGTGACTGTGCTTGTGAGTGAACTGTCTCAAGAGATGGCTAGACTTCTCCATTACTTGAAGACATTTCCCCTAAATTCACTTTCAGATGCAATCTTTTTTTTTTTTTTTTTTTGAGGGAGTTTTGCTCTTGTTGCCCAGGCTAGAGTGCAATGGCGCCATCTCGGCTCACTGCAACCTCCGCCTCCCAGGTTCAAGCAATTCTCCTGCCTCAACCTCCTGAGTAGCTGGGATTACAGGCACACCCACGCCGGGCTAATTTTTGTATTTTTAGTAGAGACTGGGTTTTGCCATGTTGGCCAGGCTGGTCTCGAACTCCTGACCTCAGGTGATCCGTCTGCCTGGGCCTCCCAAAGTGCTAGGATTATACTTCGTAATCCCCTGAGCCACTGGTGTGAGCCCCTGCACTCGGCCTCAGATGCAATCTTAACTCACTGTGCTTGGGCTTCTTAGTTTTTGTCCCCAGGTAACAACTATCAGGTTAAACCAGAAAAGAGATGATTAGGACTTGAACCAAGCTGGATAATGGAGTGGGAATGGATTTGGGCACATCTACTTGGGGAATTGTTGGTTTTTGACTTGGGGGATGAGGAAGAGAGAGATGTTTAAGGTGATTCTCAGGTTGGAGCTAGGTAAGAACCTGGCTGTTCCCTGAGGGTAGGCACTGGGTCTTCCCTGCTTGGGTTCTCCATAAAGAGGTAGCACTACTGCTGGGCTCATTAATTCAACTAATACCTGCTGTACCAGACACTGTGCTAGGGATGGAACAACAAACAGGACAGAAAGGCAGTGCCTGACTTCCAGGAGGTTATATTCTAGCAGAAAATACAGATAAAATAATTTAAAAACCATAAAATTGATAATACAAGCTTTGGTAAGTGTTTTAAAGAAAACTAACAAAGCAGAAAGGGGCAGAGTAAAGGGAAGCACTGCTCGCAGTAAGGTGACCAGAATGAGGGAGCTATTCATGCAAAGGGGAAGGGAGGAGTGGGCCAGGCAGGGGAGTCGGCAAGTGCTAGGGCCTTGAGCAGGAGAGGGACTGGTATGGTCCAGAAAGACCAAGACCCACATGGCTGGAGCCTTTGGAGCAATGGAAGAGTAACAAGCATGCAGGGCCTTGAAGGCCACTTCAGAAGACTGGGTTTTACTCTAAGTATAAGAGACACTTCTATAGAGTTTTGTTTTGTTTTGTGTGTTGTTTTTGTTCTGAGATGGGCTTTCACTTTCACTCTGTCTCTCAGGCTGGAGTGCAGTGGTGCAATCATAGCTCACTGCAGCCTCGACCTCCTGGCCTCAAGAGATCCTCCCACATCAGTCTCCCAAGTAGCTGGACTGTGGGTGCACATCATGACACCTGGATAAATTCTGTTTTTTTGTTTTGTTTTGTTTTTTGGAGAGATAGGGTTTTGCTATGTTGCCCAGGCTGGTCTCAAACTTCTAGGCTCAAGCAATCCACCCACCCTGTCCTCCCAAAGTGCTGGGCTTATAGGCGTGAACCACCACACCTAGCCCCTCTGAAGAGTTTTAATTTAGTTTAATCAGAGTGACATGATATGATTTTAAGAGTTTAAAAAGCCCACTCTGGAAGCAGGATGCAGAATGCATTGGAGGAGGGAGGTACAGATCAGGGAGTTGGAAGGATATTACAATGGGATATTATAATGGGATAGGAGAGCATGATGGGGACTTGCACTAGGGTGATGTCAAGAGAGGTAGAGAGAAATAAATGGATTTGAGATACATTGTGGGGGTAGAATTGACTAGACTCAGTGATAAATGAGATGTGGGAGATGACAGAAAGTGAGAGATCAAGATGATCCCTTGGTTTCCGGGTAGACATTGGGGTTGTTTACTGAGATGAAGAGGATCAAGGGGTGGTGGGGAAAGGGAAGATTTGTGGGGAAATTATCTAGATTTTCTTTTTTTTTTTTTTAATGGATTTTCACTCTTGTTGCCCAGGCTGGAGTGCAGTGGTGCGATCTCAGCTCACTGCTACCTCTGCCTCCTGGGTTCAAGCCATGATCCTGCCTCAGCCTCCTAAATAGCTGGAATTACAGGTGCGTGCAACCACGCCCAGCTAATTTTTTGTATTTTTAGTAGAGGCAGGGGTTTCACTATGTTGGCCAGGCTGGTCTGGAACAACTGACCTCAGGTAATCCACCCACCTCAGCCTCCCAAAGTGCTGGGATTCCAGGCGTGAGCCACCGCACCCGGCCAAAATTATCTAGATTTTCATTCGGGGACATGTTAAGTTTGAGATGTCTGAGAAATAGCCAAGTGAAGACCTCAAAGAGAGGGTGAGTATGCAAGTGTGGAGCTGAGCAGAAAGTTCTGAGATAGACATTTAAATGTGAAAGTCATTAGCACATACAATGCCATTTAAATCTGTGTGGATAGATCAGACCATTTAGTGATTAAAAAAAAGAAGCACCAAGACCCAATCTTGAAAAACTTTAACATTTAGAGGTCAGATAAGGAAGAAAAACCTGGTGAAGCAGAGAATAATAAGAAAGAATGGTCAATGAAGTAGGAGGAAGTCCAGAGAGAGTGGTGTCATGGAAGCCGAGACAGAAAAGTACATCTGTGACAAATGCAACCAGCAGGTCAATATGAGCACAGAGAAGCATCTGCCGGGCTTGGTAATACGGTGGCCTTGTTATTAAGAGCAGTATCACTGGGGTGCTAGGGACTGAGAATTATTTCTCATTCCTTTATTGCTAGAAGCAAGTTATGCTGAACATCCATCCTAAACTTGAAAGTCAAATAAATGTGGGAAGGGTTTCCAAGGGAATCTTGCATCTTGCCACTGCACCAGCTGAGTTTAATTTCCCAGGAGCTCAGTCTTACCCACCTCCTCCCCACACCTGCAGCTCTAGCTGCCAGAATGCCAATATCTTTACTCCAAACAAACCATTCATTGTACCCTTGGGCCCAAATGATAACCTTTTTTAAAACGCTGCTTGTATTTGCCTTTCCTTTAACACAATGATGGTCAAATCTCTCATCCACCACCACCAGCTCATTTATTTTAATAACTACATCCGCAGTGAAAACAGGAGTAGTATTATAGAAAGAGATAAAGTCCTCACCATCATGGTACAAATGACTAGGACTTTTCAGATGACTATGGACAGGAAAAACAAAGGAAAAAAATATATATGTATATATATACATATATATATATCAAGCCACTAGATGGAAGTCTTCATTCAACTGCCTGTGCACTTCAGAAAAGTAAAGCAGGATCAGTGCCAGACTGCACAAACCCATCAAATTCATTCGACATTCATTGAACAACTGCTTTGTACAAAGACAAATAACAATGATGATAATGGCTACCGTTCATGCAATATTTACTCTGTGCCAGGCAATCTGCTGAGTCACACATACGCTGAGTCTCACACACCTTGGCTCATTTAATTCTCCCAGGAGGAAGGGAGTATTATTATCTTCATTTTATGGGGGAGGAAACCAAATCTTAGAATTACTTACTCTAAGCAACTGACCCATGCTTGTGAATGGAGGAGCCAGTTTCCAGAATAAGAAAACACTGTCGTTGTCTACAAAGTATTTATACTAAATGTGGTAAGAGAGGGATAATGTGCCACAGGGGTGGGCTGTGACTCAGATGCAGGAACCAGCCAATGAGGGAGGAAGAGAATCAGCAAAGGCCCCACCATGCTCTCTACAGCTCAGGATGAAACGGAGCGGTCACCCCTAATTGTTTTCCCTCACTCTCCCCATAACTACTGCACCACAAAGAACCGACTGTTCTATCCCCCAAATGCATCTTAAACTAGTCCACATTTTTCCACCTACCCTATGATCACATCGTTCGTCCAGGCCACCATCATTAATAAAATGGGCTCCCTGGACCACCGCAAGAGCCTCCCGACTGGTTCTTTGGCATCTTCTCCTGCCTCCTCCAATCCTCTCTTCCCACAGTAGTCAGAGGGTCCACTTAGTGCACAGATCACCTCTGTAACCTGCTCAAGCCCTTTCAAAGGCTTCCCAGTAAATCTCAACTCCTTTCCATTGTGCCCAAGGCCTTCCCTCTATGGTCTGGTCTTGTCTACCTTTTTAACCTCATCTCCTACAGTAGCGGCTGGTTTCTCAACAAACAGGACAGAGCCTGGCATAAACAGTAATTATGTGCTGAAGAAATTAAGGCAAGAATGAATGAGTGAATAAATAGAAAAGTTTCATGGGGAAGCCGTGTTTGAAATGAGCATTATACTGGAGCAGGCTTTCTCAGACTGAGGGCTGGGAGTGGGGAGGTAGTGAAACAAGTTGCTCTCAATGGAGGCAGCAGGTGCAAAGGCACAGAGGGATTCCAGGTGCAGCAGGGAGGCAGCTAGAGCAGGCCTGGGGGCAGGGCCATGTGAAACCGGGGTTCTCAAGGTTGAGTATGCATCATAAGCCCCTGGAAAGCTTGCTGAGACACAAATTGTTGGGACCCACCTGCAGAGATTCTGATAGGTCCATCTGAAACAGGAGCTGAAAAGTGCATTTCTCACAAGTTCCCAGGTGATGCTGCTGCCACTGGTCCAGGGCCCACACTTTGAGAACCACTAGTGCAAAGTACAGTCAGTCCTTCACATCCATGGGTTCCACATCCATGGATTCAACCAACTGTAGATCAAAATATTTTTTAAAAAATAGATGATTGCGTTTATACTGAACATGTGGGCTTTTTTCTTGTCATTATTTTCTAAATAACACAATAAATAACAACTATGTACATAGCATTTCCATTGTATTGGGTATCATAAGTAATCTTGAGATGATTTAAAGTATATGGAAGGATGTGTGTGTAGGTTATATGCAAATACTACATCATTTTATATAAGAGACTTGAGCATCCGTGGGGGACTGGAACCAAGACCCCATAGATACCAAAGGACAACTGTACATAGGTTTTCTATAAGCTTTAATTTTGGAGGGTAGGAATTGTTACCTTAAAAGAAGGATATAAATCACTATTTTAAGCCAATATTAGTCCTTTGATACTTAAATGTGAATGAGTTGCAAGTTCTTTATCAACCAGAAGGAGAACTCCAGGCACCAGAGGTGAGAGACAGGAGTGATTAAGAACTGGGAAAGGGAGACACCCTAGTCTGCCTGCTCCCCAGTGTGCCCCAGGCCAAGCTGGAACAGAAATGATTAGCTTTGCTAGTGGGGAATTCAATGAAAATGGCAGGGTTTGGTGGCTTACACCTGTAACCCCAGGACTCTGGGAGGCCAAGATGGGTGGATAATTTGAGGTCAGGAGTTCGAGACCAGCCTGGCCAACATGGTGAAACCCCATCTCTATTAAAAATACAAAAATTAGCTGGGCGCAGTGGCACATGCCTGTAATCCCAGCTACTCAGGAGGCTGAGGCACGAGAATATCTTGAATCTGGGAGGCAGAGGTTGCAGTGAGCAGATATTGTGCCACTGCACTCCAGCCTGGGCAACAAAGCAAGACTCTGTCTCAAAGAAAAAACAAAAAAAGTAATTCAATGAAATGAAACAAAATAAGACAGCCACACTGGAGCAAGGGGAAAGCAGTTATTTTCTTCTCCCATAGCTGGGATTTGGCTCCACCCTGCAGGCTCCCCCTATCAGAGCCTTCAGCTCACCATTTATATATATATATATATATATATATATATATATATATATATATATATATATATATATATATATATATATAAAGGAGTTTCTTGGGTTGAAGGGAGGACACCCCTCATTCCCTACCTGTGGGAGATCCTGAGAGGCTTGGGGATTCAAGTTTGAAAAACCACTCCTCAAGGCTCCATGAAACCCCTAAACTATATCCACAATGTTTATGTTCACGTGTATGTTTTGGGGGAGACGAAACTCTAGAGCCACGCTGCCCAATACGGTAGCCACGGGTGGCCACCATGCTGGACAGTGCAGACAGAGCATTTCCACCGTCACAGGAAGCTCTCTCAGCACTCATCTAGAGCTTTCACCAGCCTTCCAAAGGCATCCATGACCAGAAATTTTAAGAGCTGCTAGGCAAAGCCAGTGAAACTTCATCTAAGGAGCCGGACTCTGCCCTGGAGAGATGAAAGCTTGTCACTGTGACAGAGGCTATGAACAAGTCTGCCTTTGAATAGTCTTTTTGTGCCAAAAATCCCACTCTAAAAACTCTTAGAAGATATCCAGATTTTATGCCTTATTATTTATATCCCCCCACCCTGACCATTGTCCAAAGAGAGGGACATCTTAATTCCACAAATATTTGCTGTAAGAAAGGTTCTCTGAGGTCCCCCAGAGCCTCTGTGCCTAACACAAGTCATGGTGGTAAGTGATCTTGACGCTCCCAGTGACCTTGTCTCCTTTGGTGTGTGTGATCGCTCTAGGTGGGTGAGGCAGTCTTGGAAAATGCCCGGCTCATGCTGCAGACAGAAACTATCCAGGCCGGAGCAGATGACTTTAAAGAGAGGTAATGTCTTACAGCAGAGGCGACAGTCCCTCCACATCCCTAGACTCCTAGGCAAGTGTGGATAATGCTGTTCTGGAGCCTGCATCATCCACCTTCTACCTCAGGGGAAGCTGGCAGGATAACAGAGCCATGATTATCCAGCTCACACCCCTCCTTGTAAACATAAAGTAGGCCCCAAGGGCTCAAAGATTTTGCCCACTGTCAGTTGGTTTAGAGCAGGGTTCTCAAACTCTGGAATGCTCAGAATCACCCAGGGGCCATATAGAAAACAGAGATTGCTGCGCCCCACCCTGTTGAATTTCTGACTCAATGGGTCTGGAGAAGGGCCCCAAATTTATATTCCTAACAAGTTCCCAGGGATGCTGATCCTGCTGGTCCTGGGACTCAAATACTTTGAGAACTACTAGCTTACAGTAATGATTCTCCAACCTGGGCATATCAGAATTACCTGGGCACTTAAAAATGTCAGTGCAGTGCACAAGCCATAGACTAATTAAATCAGAGTCCCCAGGGGTTGGGTCCAGGCTTCAGCAGTTTTAGAGCTCACCAGGTGACTTAATGTGCATCCAGGCTTGAGAACCGTGCTCAGCTACACCTCCCACTCAGTCCCTGAAGGCATCTGGGTTTGCAGCCACTCTCCTGGAGATGGACACTTTTAACATGGGTGCTTTGGAGACAGAAACCACATTTCTTATTTTGGGGTCCCCACCCTGGTGCTTAGCAGGTTGTCAGTAATGTTTGTTAAAGGATCCTTGGTTGAAAAGGAGGACAATCAGGATAGCGATGAAGATGCCGGATCCCCTAACCTGGATCTGAACTCCTGAGTTTTCCCTGGAGTTCTGTGTTGCAACACTCCCATGAGGCTGGTAGCCCGGGAAGCCAGGTTATCAGAAGTTGGCTGCAATTGCCTTCATTTTAATAAATCAATGTGTGACAACTGCACTAACAGTGCCCTCAAATCTATTGAAACAGTGACTTTTACCATTCATTGTCTAACTATCACATAATTGGCCTGTTGGTAACATTTATAATCTGATTCTTTTTCTTTTGGGCTACTCAGTTATGCTAATTAAGTTCCTTTATCTGCAGATATGAAAATGAGCAGCCATTTCGAAAGGCGGCAGAAGAGGAAATTAACTCTCTGTATAAAGTCATTGATGAGGCTAATTTGACTAAAATGGACCTGGAGAGTCAAATAGAAAGTCTGAAAGAAGAACTTGGCTCTCTATCAAGAAACTATGAAGAGGTAGGAGGGGGCTGGGGTTGCTGGGTTGGCCACAAGACCAGAAGTTCACATCTGTCTGCCTGTGCTTCATAACAAGGCCACAGTAGCTCATTTCTGACTCTCCACATTGCGTGCCCAGGACTGCAGGGAACATACCTGTAAAATACTTTCAGATCCTTGAAGTGGGTCAGGTTACCCCAGCAGTCTCAAACTCAAATAGCTTCAGGAACCAGTGTGGTACAGAAACAGGGGAAGGCAGCCAGTCTTGGCACTAGCAAATGAGGGAACTTGTGTTAAATTAGAGGGAGCAACCCCTCCTCAATGCATTCTATGTCAGGTTTTTTTTTCAACACTGTATTATACAAACAAAACAACTCTGAGGGTAGATCCAAGCTGTGGTTGACATCTACTCATTAACAAAACTGGGTCAGATTATTGAGTGACAGAACTGAAGAGGACCTCCAACAGTTATGGGGTCTAGTTCCCTGCGAGACTTCAGCAATTCTAAACCACCTCACACATATTACTGTCTGATCCAAGATTTAGGCTGCTTCAAGTTGAAAGAGTCAAAACCCACTTAACGATGCTCACATTGGGAAGTTCTTTCTTGAGACCAACTTAAGCTAACCAGCAACTGTAAGCCCATTTCTTCTTGTTCTTAGCTCAGTGATTTAAGACTACTCTCCAACAGTAACCATTTAGAGATGCCAAAGTTATCTTTTAAGTCTCTTTCATCCTTGTCTGGCTTTATGCATAAATGCCCTGTGCTGTTGTTGCTTACTTTGTTTTTGTTTTTGTTTTTGTTTTATTTTACTTTAAGTTTTAGGGTACATGTGCACAATGTGCAGGTTAGTTACATATGTATACATGTGGTTTTTTGTTTGTTTGTTTGTTTGTTTGTTTGTTTGTTTTATTTTGATTTCTGCTTTGGGCCTGGGCTTGTGGAGACCAACCTAAGAAATGCATCCTTGGTGCTAGGCATGGTGGTTCAAGCCTGTAATCCCAGCACTTTGAGAGGCCAAGGCAGGGGATCACTTGAGCCCAGGAGTTCAAGACCAGCCTGGGCAACATGGTGAAACCCTGTCTCCACTAAAAATACAAAAATTAGCTGGGCATGGTGGTGTGTGCCGTGCCTGTGCCTGTAGTCTCAGCTACTCAGGAGACTGAGGTGGGAGGACTGTTTGAGCCCAAGAGATGGAGGCTGCAATGAGCTGAGATCATGTCACTGCACTCCAGCCTGGGTGACAGAGTGAGACCCTGTCAAAAAAAAGAAGGAAGGAAGGAAGGAGAGAGAGAGAGGAAGACAGACGGAAAGAAAGAGAGAAAGAGAGAGAGAAAGAGAAAGAAGGAAAGAAGGAAAGGAAGGAAGGAAGGAAGGAAGGAAGGAAGGAAGGAGGGAGGGAGGGGGAGGGAAGGAGGGAGGAAGAAAGAAAGAGAGAGAAGGAAAGGAAGGAAGGAAGGAAGGGAGGGAGAGAGGGAGAAATGCATCCTTGGGAAAAGAGAAATTACACTTACGCTGGGAAGAAGGTCAGGGACTTTCCCAGTCTCTGTGAAGCCTGTGTCTGGCAGTTGTGGAATGAGAAAAGAATTGCCCACAGAGCTGGTTTTCTGCTGGCTAGAATTCTATGCCATTTATTTCCCCCCGTAACTCATCTAAGATGTATATTGTTGTTTTCAGGATGTGAAGCTGCTGCACAAACAGTTGGCAGGGTGTGAGCTGGAACAAATGGATGCTCCCATTGGCACTGGTCTGGACGACATCCTTGAGACGATCAGAATTCAGTGGGAGAGAGATGTTGAAAAGAACCGGGTGGAGGCAGGAGCCCTGCTCCAAGCTAAGGTGAGAGGCAGGACCAGCATCCTCCACTCTGCCCTATGCAGAAGGAGGCCACGCTGAGCTGCAAACTAGTCAATGTGCAGACGAAGAAATAACAACGGTTTAGTAACAAGTTCAACCTCATTAGAAACAGAAGAAATGAAAATTAAAATAATAGCTTTTTGTTTACCTATCTAAAAGTAGAAAATGTTTAAAATGGTAAAAATGCTGGCAAGTATGTGGAGAAGTAGGTTCTCTACTGTATTACTGAAGAGCATAAACTAGTGCACTGCCTTTGAATAAGAAATTTAGTAATATGCACCAAGAGTGTTAAAATGCCCCTAGCTACCAACTGAATAATCTGAATACAATCCTGAAAGAATAATTGAGGCCGGGCGTGGTAGCTCACGCCTGTAATCCCAGCACTTTGGGAGGCCAAGGCGGGCGGATCATGAGGTCAGGAGATCGATACCATCCTGGCTAACAGGGTGAAACACTGTCTCTACTAAAAATACAAAAAATTAGCCGGACGCATTGGCAGGTGCCTGTAGTCCCCGCTACTCGGGAGGCTGAGGCAGGAGAATGGTGTGAACCTGGGAGGCGGAGCTTGTAGTGAGCCAAGATTGGGCCACTGCACTCCAGCCTGGGCAACAGAGCAAGACTCTGTCTCAAAAAAAAAAAAAAAAAAAGAATATTTGAAAAAATAAATCATCTGTGTCCAAATATACTCACTGAAGCATTATAAGAGTGAAAAAAACATACACATTTACTAGTAGAAGAAAATCTAAGCCACAACCTACCTATGTGCAGTAAAATATCAGGCAGTTATTAGAATTAATGTTTATGAAGCATTTATAAAATAGGAATGTGTTCATAATATGAGGTAAAATGAGGAGAAAATGAGAGTACAGAATGGTATATGCCAGAAGCCAAAAAATATTCTCTGTAAAGGACCAAACAGTAAATATTTCAGGCTTCTTGGGCCAGATGGCCTCTGTTGTAACTCCTCAGCGCTGCCACTGCAGTGTAAAAGCAGCTGTAGCCAATAGGTAGCTAATGAGCATAGCTGTGTTCCAATAAAACTTTATTTACAAAAATAAGCGGTGAGATGGATTTGGCCTGTGGACTGCAGTTTGCCACTTCCTGGTATATACAGTAGGGTAAAGCATTCAAACAAAGAAACTAGGCATTGAGAAAAAATTTTAGAAAGAAAAGACTAAAATGGGATTAGCAGTCGTTGCCTTTGAGTGATGGATCAGTCTGACACTTTGAGATGTTTTTTCTTTTTTGTTTTTGAGTATTTCTCAAGTTTTTGTTAAATAGTATACATTATATTCATGGAAGAAAAACAACTTTTATTAAACCTCATAAATAATACAGGAATTAACCAGAAAATAGGATGCATAGGGTTTGTTCTTCCCTTCTCCATCTCCCACCCATTTCTGACTTTGTAATCTTGAGACAGAGGATGAAAAGTGACAAGGAAGGAAAATGTGGAAAAGTAGAGAAAATAAGGTAGATGTCTGAGTTAAGGCAAAAGGCTGTTTCTGAGCTCTTGATTACTATTTAGTGGTTCTTGATCCTGGCTACGCAGCAGAATTATTTCAGAGCATTTTCAAAAATCGCCATCCCAGACCAACCAAATCAGACAGAGGAGAGGGACTTTGTGATTTTTAAAGCTCTCTGGATGATTCTAATATGCAGCCAGATTTGAGAACCATAAGAATTATAAAAAGCTATGAAAAGAAAAATAGGAGAGGCTTTTCTGTCCTTTCTCCCACCATACTCCCTCTATCCCCCAAGTATCAACAAGAACCTTCCCAGCAGGGTCTTCATCAATTCTGGATTCCCAAAATGTTCTCCAGCCTAGAAAACATCCTTTCACTCACCCATTTCTCCAACCCCTACCCCGTTTCAATAGCTTCCTTTCTTTCTAACCACCAATCATTGAGCCAGGTCACTACAAACACTTTTTTATGGCAAATAGAGCCTAGTTATTCAAAAAATGACTTCCCCTCGCCCCACCCAACCTGATGAGAAGTGGAGCAACACAGAGGTAAAGTGAAGCCATAGATTTGAGTTTGGTCCATTGCCTTTTTTAACAGACTCATGACAGATAACAGATAATTAATGGTCCTAGAGACCATCTGATCCCATTCCCTAATTTTAGGTGTGAGGAAACTGAGACCCAGAGAGTGCAGGTGACTTCCCACGATCACACAGCTGGTTGAGAGCTCCATAGTTCAACTCTCCTGTTCTTGGTCCAGAGACCTTTTCTCTGCATTGGGCTGCATCGTTTCTCCCCTGGCTCTGCTTCTAAAGCTAAACCTCAGAGGCCCAGCAGTTTGCAAACTTTGCTTCTGTCCCAGCCCTCCTGCGGTGTGCACCACACTGTGGTAACTGTTTCTTTGGGAAAGGACAGACTATTATAATTATCAGAAATAAATCCTTCATAGTATGAAAAAGAAAAAAAAAAGGTCATTATTATCTCCTCCTCACCCCTTGGAGAATCATCACTAGCCCAACAGTAACTCAAACATTAATTCTGAACAGATTCATTAGTGTTTTTTTAATAGAGTAATCTGAAAGCTACATCTCAGAGAAAACAGACAGTATTTGTTTTAGCTTGGCCAATGCTGCCTGGGCCTCTTGCAGAAAGGCAGAGCTCAGAAAATATTTGCAGAATGAGTGAATTCCTCTGATCATCAACAGAGATCTGAACTGACAGCCAGAATTCCTCCAATAAATAGTTTTGTCAGTTGCAGTTGTGCCCTCAGGGGCTGACATTTGCCCATCCTGAGCATCTCTTGTCGGTTTCTTGGCGGCATAGCATAAATGTGAAATGGCTTAGCACACACAGCTTTCAAAAGCTTTTGTAAAGAAAATGCAAGCATGCATTTAATTACCTTTCGGACCACAGAGGCTGAAAATTAATTAACATGATTAATTTATATCTTAGTTTAGGTTCCTTCAGAAGCAGATCCTGAAACAAATATTGGAGTTAAGGTAGTTTACCTGGAAGTTGGGGAGTTAAAAACCAACAAAATACCAGTAGAGGAGAAGCAAAGAAGGGAACCAACAAAGAATGCCTAATCAAACCAGTTACCACTGTGGGAGACTGACGTGTAAACCAAGAAGAATTGTGAGAAACGGTATAGACTACAGGAGAGGGGAAAGGCAAGGGAGCTGAGATGTTAATACCATCTCCCAACAGTTTTCTGCCATCTGCTATCAGAGTGGCCTTCCAAAGGCTTCAGAGAAACTCTCAGGCAAAAAGATGCAGAATCTGGCAGGGGGAACAGGAGAGCACTAAACTGCGAAAGCCTAAGGGATAAAGGTGGTACCATCAGCATCTGCTAGAACTTATCTGCCAATTCTGTTTATTTTTTCAGTCATTAAAAGCTTAATAAAATAGAGACATAAAAAAATTTATTAAGAGGTTCTGGCTAAGGTCAGTGCAGTATTCATATTCTTTCCAGCTATGGTGTTACGAATGTCAGGAACCTCATGGTCCAGTTTTTGAAGCTTCTGAAGTTGTATGATTCAGTGATGACAGGATCAGATTGGTCCAGAGAATTTCTGGAGGGTCTTAAAGTCTAGTTCTTCCTTGTCTATTTGTTGTGGTTACCTAATGCAGGGTACTCAGGGATGCTTCAGGAACCTCAGACAACATGCCACACCACACTCTAGACCTCCTAGTTAGTCAAGTAAAACAAAACAACTTTTTTTTTAAGTTGGGCACTGTGGCATGTGCCTGTAGTCCTAGCTATTCAGGAGGCTGAGGCAGGAGGATTGCTTGAGGCCAAGAGTTCAAAGGAGAAGTACACTATGATCATGCCTATGGATAGCCACTCTACTCCAGCCTGGGCAACATGGTGAGACCCCATCTCTTTTTTAAAAAATCCTTTTTGTCCCCTATGCTCTTACAAAATGCTTCTGACACCAAATATGTAGGTTTGTTCCACACCAAGCAGATCTCCAAACACCAACTGAGTGTCCTATAATTCAATTCAATCCTGACACTACCTGCCTGAAGTAGTATCAGATCCCACAGGTTAAGGGCTCAGTCCCATAAGACAGCCCTCACTTCAGATGACAAGTCTGGCCCTCCCATACTTCGGATGAACTGGCTATAAATTAGGGGTTCCCACAACCTCCTCTGCAGAGGGATAAGTAGATAGTTTGCTAGAACAGTGCCCAGAACTCAAGGAAACACTTTACATATTTTTGCCAGCTTATTATAAAGGATACAATTCAGGAGCAGCCAAATGGAGGAGATGCTTAAGGCAACGTATGTGAGAAGGGGCACAGAGTCCCCAACTCCAAATTTTTGACTCTATTATAATAACACTTGGCTTAAAATGCAAACACGTCATACAGCTATACAAAAATATTCTTTCTTTTATCCTTATTCTATAAGCTTGTTTTCTATTTTTAAGAGGGGGTTTTTTTAACCTTTTAAACTTTTTTTGTTAAAAACTAAGACACATACATACACATTAGCCTAGGCCTACACAGGGTCAGGATCGTCAATATCACTGTCTTCCACCTCCACATCTTGTCCCACTGAAAGGTCTTCAGGGGCAGTGACATGTGTGGAGCTTTCAGCTCCTGTAACAACAATGCCTTCTTCTGGAATTCCTCCTGAAGGACCTGCCTGAGGCTGTTTTACCGTTAACTATTTTTCTTTTTTAATAAGTAGGAGTATGCTAATGATAAAAAGTATAGATACAGTAAATACATAAACCAGTAACATTTACTATTGTTAGCAAGTGTTATGCACTGCACATAATTGTATGTGCTAGACTTTTATATGACTGGCAGTGCAATAGGTTTGTTTACACTGCATCATCACAGGGTCTCACAAAGCTGCAATCAAGGTACCCACCAGGGCCGCATTCTCATCTTCAGAGTTTGTTCGGGTTCTTGGCATCGTTCAATTCCTTGCAGATGTAGGCTTGAGGTCCTCAACTCCTAGAGGCCAGTCCTCCTCAGAGGCCATTTACAACATGGCTGTTTGCTCCTTCAGGGCCAACAGAAAAGCATTACCATTTTAAGCCTTTAATCTGATTAAGTCAGGCCCACTCAGATACTCCTCTTTTGATCAGCTCAGATTTAGCTGATTTGGAACCATAATTACATGTCAAAATCTCTTCATCCTTGTCATCTAACATAATTTAATCATTGGACATAACACCAGAGAGCAGAGATCATGGAGGCCATCTTAGAATTCTGCCTACCAGGCCCCTCAGTGTTGAGCAGAGAACTAAAACTCTGCCCCTCCCCAAACCCCCACCATCTCACCTCCTCTGCCAGGCAAACAGCTCTGCCCTCAGCCCACCTCCTGTAGGGGAGCACGGGTCCCGTCTTTCTTGTCCAATTTCTCAGCCGGGGCACTGAGACGTCTTTGTTCCCTCACCCTAAGCCTGGTCTGAAGTCTGCCTCCTGCAATGCAAGCTCTGTTTTGCCTTCTTAGCCTTCTTCCTGAGATGCTCCTTCCATTCAATTTCCATTTGCCCAAAGCTGACTCCACACTTTCATTCCCAGAGGCCTCATTTCTCCATCCCTTGCCTGCTGCAACTGGTTGATGTATACAATACCCAAAGGCTTAATCAATCACCAGCACAAGTTGGTGGTTGCCCGGATGTGAGAGAACTCAGTCTGTCTTAAGAGTCCCCAGGGTCAGGAACAAATGGATTGCTCCCATGCTATCTTCTCTAACAGCAGGTCTGCACTTGCCTCAGGTCAGTTTGAGGCATCTGCGGTCAGGAACTTTATCTGAGCTGTAACCATCATGCCTTCATGTCACATGTCAGGATGACAGATTGTGCAAACTATTAAGAATGAAGACAAGTGAATAGATTGAAATGAATTGTGAGGTTTCTGGTTGTTGATAGTCTTAAGGCCAAAAGAAACATTCAAGATCATCTAAAGCCGGGCCATCTAACTGAAATATCGCAATGATGGGCATATTCTATAATCCATGCAGCAATCCGGTATGGTAGCTACTGGCCTCAAGGGGTTATACAGGTGCAGTGGCTCATGCCTATAGTCCCAGCACTTTGGGAGGTCAAGGTGGGCAGATCGCTTGAGCCCAGGAGTTCAAGACCAGCCTAAACAACATGGCAAAACCCTGTCTCCACAAAAATACAAAAATTAGCCAGGTGTGGTGACATGTGCCTGCAGTCCCATGGAAACTACTTGGGAAGCTGACATGGGAGGATCACCTGAGCCTAGGAGGTCGAGGTTGCAGTGAGCTCTGATCGCACCACTGCACTCCAGCCTGGACAACAGAGTGAGACTCTGTCTCAAAAATAAATAAATAAATAAA
Source organism: Homo sapiens (assembly GCF_000001405.40). Taxonomy (NCBI): domain Eukaryota; kingdom Metazoa; phylum Chordata; class Mammalia; order Primates; family Hominidae; genus Homo; species Homo sapiens. Next base: position 133,456,772 of record NC_000003.12, read on the forward strand.
GCTGAGGAACTAACTTTTAATTATGTTTAATTTTTATTTCAGCAGCTACAGATGACTAGTGACTGCTCTATTAGAGGACAGCATAGGTCTAGATTTACCCACGAGGAGAATAGAAACCTTGAATAGCATCTCTCCATGTCATCTACACTTACAAACAATAATTTTCCCTGTAAACACAGACATTTTATACAAGCTACTCTGTCTAGACTTTTTCTATTCTTGCTTTTACCAACAAGAGTCAATATTTTCTAAGATATATGAAGCTGAATTAAAACAGGCACTGCCACTCTGACTCTAGACTACAAGATGACCTCTTGTGCTATTGCCATGTTAACCACCTGGGAAAGTTCCTTTCCAGGGGAACAGCAAAAGCAGGACGCCTGACAGCATCTGTAATCTAGAGGCTCCTGTGTGCCAATGAGCTGGCTGGACTCCCTGAGGGCTCTTCAGTGAAATAAGCCATGGCTGTAGCCAGTGTGCTCAAGGCAAACACTGAACGGGGATCCCGAAGCATCTTCATATCTCTGAATCTCACAGAGAGCTTCACAAAAGGGCCCTGTTTGCTTTTATGTCTTTTTAAATTGACTTTTATTTTATTTCAACATGTATAATAGATAATACATTCACTTAGTTCAAAATTCAAAACATACAAAAGATATAAAGTGAAAAGTGCTATCCAACCCATGTCCTAGCTACCGTTTTTTTCTATGGGGGTCAATCAATGTTATCCTTTTCTTGTATGTCATTTCAGAAACATTTTACCCATATACAAAGAAATATATATATTTTTTTTCCTGTCTTTTTACACAAGTAGTATTCAGAACATACTGCTTTATGACTGTATGATATTATACCACAGGGGGCAGCAAACTCTGGCCCACAAGCCAAATCTGACCCATTGCCTGTTTTTACAAATAAAGTTTTATTGGAACATGACCATCACATTCATTTACATATCATCTATGGCTGCATTTGCACTACACAAGTGGAGTTCAATAGTTGCAACAGAGACCATATGGCCTGCTAAGCCTAAAACATTTACTATCTAGCTAGTCACAGAAAAAGTTGTCAACCTCTGTTCTAGCTAACAGATGCCCCAGAATTTGTTTAGCCTGTTCCCTACTGCTGGGCACTGAGGGTGGTTTCCAATCTTTTGCTATTAGAAGAAATTAGTCACTAACATGGTATACCTCTCATTTCCATATATAGAAATGTATCTGTTAAATGAACTTATAGACATGGAATTGTTGGCCCCAAAAGTGTGTGCACTGGTAATTTTGATAAATATTGCCAATTGCTCTCTACAAAGATTATAACAATTTACATTTCTATCAGAAATATTTGAGAGTGTCCATTTCCCCATATCTTCACCAATACTTTGTGATCTTTGCTAATACTATGGGTTAAAATGCATTTCTTACAAATTGCTTTTGTGTGTACTAGCAGATCATATCTTTTGCCCATTTGGGTTACTGTAGTTGTATGCTATAGTAGCATATACCAGTTGGTGCGGCTGCAAAGAGAATAGGGAAAATCAAGAATCAGAGCAGATTTTAAAAGGAAAAACCAAAAGACTGTCTCATTGAGGTAGGTACTGCCTACTCTTTGCCTCTTCTTTTCTCTAGTTAAGACAACACACAGGCTGGGTGTGGTGGCTCACTCCTGTAATCCCAGCACTTTGGGAAGCCAAGGCAGGCAGATCACTTGAGGTCAGGAGTTCAAGACCAGCCTGGCCAACATGGTGAAACCACGTCTCTACTAAAAATACAAAAAATTAGCCGGGTGTGGTGGCACACACATGTAATCCCAGCTACTGGGGAAGCTGAGGCATGAGAATCACTTGAACCCAGGAGGTGGAGGATTGCAGTGAGCCAAGAACACTCCACTGCACTCCAGCCTGGGCGACAGAGTGAGACTTTGTCTCAAAAAAACAAACAACAAACAAAAAAACACAGACATTGTAGAGCGCTCTCTCAGGCCCTTATCTTCTTATGTTGTGTGTTTAAACTCACAACTGGTTGACTACCAATATCTGGGTAACTACATAGGGGATCACCCAACATTGCAACCTCTTTCTTACATCTTCTACCAAGGAATCTCCACTCACTTATTCATTCAAAATCTGTTTGTCAAGGACAAACCAGGTGCAAGGCCCTGACTTGATGCTATGGTTCCTGAAGTCCCTGACTTCAAAGAACGCTCGTCCCAGACTACCTGACTGTGCTGATCTCAAAGCATACCTTAGATATTTTTTAACAGATTTTTCCCATAAAAAGTGTAAGGACTGGCCAGGCACAGTGGCTTATGCCTGTAATCCTGGTGCTTTGGAATGCGGAGGCAGGAGGATCCCTTGAGGCCAGGAGTTTGAGATCAGCCTGGGCAACATAGTAAGACCCCACCTCTACAAAAAAAAATGTTTTTAATTGGTCAGGTGTAGAAGCACGCAACTGTAGTCCTAGCTACTCAGGAGGCTGAGGCAGGAGAACTGCTCGAACTCAGGAGGTCGAGGCTGCAGTGAGCTATGATCTTATCGCTGCACTCCAGCCTGGGCAACAGGGTGAGACCCCGTCTCAAAATAAAATAATAGAAAAATCTATTTTTCTCTTTAGAATTAGACTCATTGCTGAGCCTCTTCAGCTGATTTTATCAAGAGGATGAGCTTACTTATTACAAGGGGGCAGCAAGGTCACAAAGCCATTTACTCCTCTGTGTTTTGTTTGGCAGCTCCAACGGAGGCTGGGAATTGGTCCTACACTCAAACAGCAGCTTCAATAGCTGGGCAGTTCTTGTGTAAACTCACAGAGAAACTTGTAGCCCAGCCGGGCCAGCTCCTCTGCCAGTGTTGAAGTTTCATTGAGTGAGGCGTGCACTTCTTTTTAATCCCCGCTGAGGAGAGCCCATGTTGCTAGTGCAGACTGGATGGCATCCAGCCTTCTCCCAAATAAATCCTACATCTGGCTGAGGAAGGTCGGGAGTGTGTGCTGCCTGTCAAAAGCTATCCTTAGCTAAATAACATATGACACCACGTAACTGTAAAATGACTTACAACTGTTATAATAACGATAGCTGATCCTCTTAATGAAAAGGAGATTTGATCTCATCCTATTCCTGGTAGATCCTCCTCTTCTTCCCTAGTCCCTAGCATGTGCCTGGCCTACATTGTAAACCTTCAGTAAATATTGTTGAGCACATTCTAGGTGTAAAAAGCTATGTTAGGTCTCCAAAAGGGGCAGAGGGGTGAGTAAGAAGTTGTTCCTATAAATAAGGAACCCACAGTCCAGTGTGGATGTTGGCTGGTGTACCTGTGGGAGGCAAGAAATGGGTAGAAAGGCTACTCTTATACAAGGCAGGATGAAATTTTCCACAAAAGCAGAGCCAGCCAAGCTTTTATGGAGCATCTACCAAGGGTTCTAAGCACCCGACAGGTACGTTCTCATTTAATCTTCCCAACATGAGATAGGTATTGCGATTTTAGCATTTTATAGAGGAGGAAACTGAAGCACAAAGAGGTTAGGTAATTTGCCCAAAATTACACACTTAGAAAGTGGCAACACTAGGATTCAAATTACACATTCTGACTCCAGAATCCACACTCTTAACTGTTAGTTTGAACTGGACAGACCACATGAATGGGGGGACCTTAATTTGGTTTTTAAAAGATTTTTTTGTAGAAACAGGATTTCAGTATGTTGCCCAGGCTGGTCTTGAACTACTGGCCTCAAGCAATCTTTCTGCTTTGGCCTCCCAAAGTGCTGGGATTGCAGATGTGAGCCACCATGCCCAGCTGATTTCTTTTTTAAGAATAAATAAGTGACATCTTGTGGAATGTGAGGTTGGAGAGGCCTTTGTCCCCGGGGGGCTAAAAGTTATGCCAGACTTCTGTTGGGAGCTTTTCAAACCAAGCGTCTGTGCCCTCCTTGTGGGATTCTTCTATGACACAAGATAGGGAACCCCTGTATTCCCACGGGACCATTGTTTACCTTTCTCCATGAACAGCACGATGAGATTAGCATGATCTCATGAAATCTGAAAAGTGCTTAAGAGCCAAGGCAGGTAGCTGCATTCTGCAGTAGAACAATGCTCATATAAAGCAATTGATCACCAGTTGCAAAAACCAGAGTGCTCGAGTGACTTGCTCAAACCTGCACAGCAACTGCTTAGTGAAAGGCAGAAGACACATGAGGCAGACAGCTCATCTGGATACATGATCTGCTGAGAATGCACTTGCAATTTCAAAGACCAGGAAGTATCAACATTCTCTCTCCTCACTCTCCCTCCTCCTGAACACTCGCCTTCCCCTCACATTGCAAAGGTAGCGTTTCTGTCAGTTCTGGGTCATTGCCAAGGGTGTTTTTAGGAATGGCCATCCTAATCAGCAAAGTGGGTCAGGCTTGGACTTGGAGATGGTTCTTTTCCTCTTTCCCAGTCCTCATTTGTATCTTCAAGAGTCAGGCTCTCAAATACTTAATTATTACTTACTTAGAACACATTGCTTTTCTCTTCTCACATCCTTCATGTGCAAAAACATGCTAATTTAATTTGAAATTTTTGAAATTTGAAAATCTTTATTATGTTTCAAAATGTCGACATGCTCTCCTGCCCCAGAAGTAATTGCACTCCTACCCTGCTGGAGTGCAAACACGGGCGGCTCAGGTCCTGTGCAGTTTCAAAGCCTAGGGATCAACATATCTGAATTTCATCACACACCCTAACAACTGCACCGGGCAACAAAACACAGCCCCACCTTCCTATCCTCAGGGGCTAGATGACACACCTACTCTCTGGTCTATGAGAAGAAATCTGGAGGCACAGGGTTGAAATGGAAACAGAAATAGAGTTATAATAACCAGAAAGCACAAATCTAAAAAGCCATTGGATAAAAATGTGTAATACTTTTAGGTGAATTACTTTTAGCAGTGGTTACTTTAGGTGAGTTAAAGCAATTAAGTGGGAAGTATCTCTTGTGGTGAGATGATTTGAGAAGGAACACAGTGACATTAAAACTTGTAGTGATCAAATTACATTCTTTTGCTCTTTCAATCTTAAACTAGAAGAAAGCCTCTGTTCAGTGCTGGGAGGTCTTTAACACCTCTGTTGTACTTATTTATCTCCCCTTTCCACAAAGAGAAAGCAGGCCTCAGGACTTAGCAGCTTGGCAGTCAATGGTAGCTGGAATTTAATAACAGTGGTTGGTTATAACTTTATTAATTTTTTAGTTATCCTCTACCCACTGCAAGGGATACTGTTTCATTGGTTTCTGCAGCGATCTAGAATTTTGCTTCCATGGACCAGGCAGGCATGGACCTGGGAGTGCAGATTTCTGAGCTGTACTCAGGATCCCCTGCATCAGAGCCCACATTTTCTCAAGATCCTAAGGTGACGCTCATGCGCATTTAACCTATAGTTTCCATTTTAAACTAACCTACAGTTTACAGATAACTAACCTACAGTTTCCATTTTAAACACGTTTATTTGTAAAAAAAGAGTGAATTGGTTTAAATAAAAATAGCATGAATGAGTATTAAGAGAGTGTGAAAAACCATGTCAGTGGTGCAAGAACATTTGAGAAACACCTAAATACAGTATTTTTGCTAATGAAACTAAGACATGGTGTTTCAGCCAAGAAACCAGTAAATATCACGGAAGCTGCTCACTGGATTGAGAGGGGACAAATCATGTGAGGGACTGTGGCTATAGCCTTGGCCAGCAGCTTTACACTAGACCTGCACACCAAGGCTTTGAAACTTGCCTCCATTCCTTCCCTGGCTTTTCCGTATGGAGTGATGGTAAATGTTTCACAACTGCTTTCTGGGTGAAATATATGTATATGTATATATGTGCCAATCACATTCACAATACTGCTTAAGGGTAATGTAACAATTCCCACTGATTTTTTTATATATAATTTTAGAAATAACACAAATTTTAAGACAAAATACTTTGCTATTTCAATTACACCTATAACTTCAGCATGACTTGCTATTTCTTGGAAAATTCACCAACCATTTTTTATAATTCTATCATCAACAATAGTATCACAAAATCAGACTACAAAAAATGCTTGATTACTAATTTCTGATTAAGCAAAAAGTCACTCACATTATTTGTTACTGGTGGCAAATCTGTAGGGGGTCTGAAGCAACCTCAATTCTTGCCTCCTCAGAAGAAAGAATTCAACTGAAGGGCATAAAGCAGAAGAGACGGAGGCAAGTTTTAGAACAGGAGTGAAAGTTTATTTAAAAACTCTAGAGCAGAGACCGGGTGCGGTGGCTCACGCCTGAAATCCCAGCACTTTGGGAAGCTGAAGCCGGCGGATCAACTGAGGTCAGGATTTCGAGACCAGCCTGGCCAACATGGAGAAACCCCATCTCTACTAAAAATACAAAAATTAGCCGGGCATGGTGGCAGGCGCCTGTAATCTCAGCTACTCGGGAGGCTGAGGCAGGAGAATTGCTTGAACCTGGGAGGCAGAGGTTGCGGTGAGCTGAGATCGCACCATCGCACTCCAGCCTGGGGGACAAGAGCAAGACTTCATCTCAAAACAAAACAAACAAAAAACTCTAGAGCAGAAACAAAAGGAAGGAAATACACTTGGAAGAGGGCCAAGCAGGCAACTTGAAAGACAAGTGCGCAGTTTGACCTTTTGACTTGGGGATTTATACGTTGGCATGCTTCTGGGATCTTTCATCCCTTCTCCCGATTCCTCCCTTGGGGTGGGGTGTCCGCATGTGCGATGGCCTGCTAGCACTTCGGAGGGGAGCATGCGCAGTGTGTTTACTGGAGTTGTACACCTGCTCATTTAAGGCATTCTTCTCTTACCAGCTAAATGCCCCTAGGAGGTCATATACCAGTTTAACTCTGCCATTTTGCCTTTTAGTGTGCATGCTTGAGCTCACTTGCCCAACTCCTGAGATCTTATCAGGAAGTTGCTGATCACCAGTTTCAGGTTTTTTCTATCTTTAGGGAGACTGCTTTTCCCTGCCAGCTGTGACAAGTTATTATTTTAGAGAGACTGTTAACAACCACCTGACCATCACCTGATGGTCACCTGACATTCTTAGTTGGTTGTGGGGGTGCCTCTCCCGCCCTGTTCATGTCTGACTGGCTACCTATTAGCTACCTCTGTTACAGTTACCAGTAACAATGTAATTTAATTTCTAATGATGGCTGTGTTTAGCAGTCAACTTACAACATTCCTGAAAATTTAAAAATCAGCTCCCGTGAGCTGTTAGGAGCAAGTTCTAGCTCACTACTGCTCCCCGCCACCCTCTGTAGCTACATTGTCTGACTCCATTTGCCTTCCAGGATGCCCCACCTCCTGCCTCCTACCTACCTACACAGCCCATCTGGCCAGGAACCCAACCCCAAAGAGGGGAGAAAAACTGGGGTATTGATCATAAGAACTTGGAAGACAAGGAGTATACTTCAGAATGATCCACCTGAGTTTGGGGAAGATACCTCCAATTTTAGGGATCTTAAATTGGTAGATTGGTGGAGATGACAACATTAAATACTAGTTGAGAGCACATCTCTGGGTCTGCTGCTGGGCTGGAATCCTCTTTCTGTCTCTCACTGGCCATATAATCTTGAGCAAATAACTCAATCTCCCTGTGCCTCAGTTTCCTATGAGGATAATAATGACATCTCCTTCATAGGGTTGTAAAGATTAAATTAGATACTTGATTAAAACTGTTAACAATGTGCTTGGCACAGAATAAGTGCCTAATACATATTCTTTATTATTAGTAGTATTTAACTATTACTATTTAATTGTTACTAAATATTTGACTCTTCATAGTAGCATTTAACTATTACCACTTTGTTATTTAACTATTAAATAACAAAAGTTATTTGTTGGCCACTATTACTTTTTACATTTGGAAAATATATAGTCAGTGTTTTCATGCTTTTAAGATTCTAAAGGCTTCAGCATGCTTAATCTGCTGGAAGCCTCACAGTGACCACAGGAGGGAGTCATTATATGATAATGAGTATTATTCTCCATTCATTGTGGTCTGTGTTCCATGGGCAGAAATTGAGACTCTGAGAAGCTGAATGATGGCTTAGGGACACAAGCTGTTGGCTAACCAGTCAGAGCTGGGTCCAAGGCTTCTGTTCTCCTTCAGCGACTCCAAAGCCTTTAATGGTCATTCTTTGGGCTCTGTAAAGACCAAACAGTAAGAATTGGAGGTGCTACTACTGAGCTATGAGCCACTTGACTTGGGGTTTCTTTTTTTTTTTTTTTTTTCTTTTTGAGATGGAGTCTCACTGTCACCCAGGCTGGAGTGCAGTGGTGCCATCTCGGCTCACTGCAACCTCCGCCTCCTGGGATCAAGAATTCTCTGTCTCAGCCTCCCGAGTAGCTGGGACTACAGGCTCACGCTACCATCACGCCTGGCTAATTTTTGTATTTTTAGTAGAGACGGGTTTTCACCATATTGGTCAGTCTGGTCTTGAACTCCTGACTTCAGGTGATCCACCCACCTCGGCCTCCCAAAGTGCTGGGATTACAGGCATGAGCCACTGCACCCAGCCTTGACTTGGGGTTTCTAGCCAGTCCATTAGATTGGACTGTCTTTGGACTATTCTGTAAATAAATATTCATATGTGGTAAAAATGGTAATTCCAGAAAACCGTAACCTAGGAAAGTAGAGTTTTTTCCCTCCTCCATTCTTGGCTAGGAGACGTTCCATCAGACTGCATCGAAGAAAATGGGGATGATCTCTCATTTTTCATCTTTTCCCCAGAACAGAGGAGTAACAATGACCTGTTCCCCTGAATATATGGGGAGGGATCAGACTCTGTCCATCTTGCTCTGGGGAGAAGTTAAAAACACAGAGCTTCCCTTTGTCTGGGTCACAGTTGTGACTAGACACATGGTTTTCACAAGGAAACAGGCACTATCAGATTGACAGAGATCAAGTTGGATAACTCCTGGTTTGAGGGCGGTATGGGACAACTGGCACTGTCTTACAATGCTGAAATGGATTTCAAGTTTTCCGAAGGGAAATTTGCCACTATTCACCAAAATTAAAAATATATACCCTTTCTAATCAGCAGTTCTACTACAAGAACTACTTTCTCAAAGACATGCTCTTGTATGAAAAATAAGGGATCAAAGCTTTTTCTTTGCACCATTGTTTGTAATAGAGAAAGAAAGACTAGAAACAATCTGAGTGTCCACCAGCAGAGACTTCTAAATACATTGCAGCCCTTCCAAACAAGACAACACTGTGCAGCCGCTATAAAGAATGTACTCAATTTCTATTAGGTTGGTGCAAAATTAATTGCTGTCTCTGCCATTGAAAGTAGTGGCGAAAACTGCAATCGCCTTTGCACCAACCTAATATGTACTGATATAGAATAATTTCTAAGATACTTTAAGTACCAAAGCACGGGGGGGGCAATACATATTTATTTATAAATATATAAACTATTTCTGGAAAGAGGAATAAGAAACTAGAAACAAGAGAACTGGATAATTAAGACACAGGAGAAAATGAGACTTTATAGTCTGTAGGAAATCTTTTGAATTGTATTTCATTTGCAGGCATCGTATGTTCAAAATAAATACATTTTTGTATACAAGTTGGTGAAGGGACCTGTTTAAAAAAAAAGACATTTCCAGCCAGGCGTGGTGGCTCACGCCTGTAATCCTAGCACTTTGGGAGGCCAAGGCATGCGGATTACCTGAGGTCAGGAGTTCAAGACCAGCCTGACCAACATGGTGAAACCCCATCTCTACTAAAAATACAAAAAAAATTAGCCAGGCCTGGTGGCGGGTACCTGTAATCCCAGCTACTCGAGGCAGGAGAATCGCTTGAACCCAGGAGGAGGAAGTTGTGGTGAGCTGAGATCGCACCACTGCACTCCAGCCTGGGCTACAGAGCGAGACTTCATCTCAACAAAAAAAAAAAAAAAAAAAAGATGTTTCCACGTGACAGCTGTATTTCCTCTGGTTAGAGGCAGTGGAGTGGTGATTAGAAAGGCTGGGAAGGAAGGATGGGCTCAGATTTCTGATCATCACCGCTCACACTGAGACCTGACTCTCCACAGCAACAGGCGGAGGTGGCCCACATGTCCCAGACCCAGGAGGAGAAGCTGGCAGCTGCCCTCAGGGTGGAGTTACACAACACTTCGTGCCAAGTCCAGAGCCTCCAGGCTGAGACAGAATCCTTACGTGCCCTGGTAAGTGGGCCAAGGAAAGACCTGGTGTCCTTGTGCTAATTTTAACTCTCTACTGTCAAATTCCAGTATTATGGATCTTAGTTTCCAGGGGATTCCCATCTCACAGCATATGAGTTTTGAGGCCTGAAATGTCTTCTGACTCCCAAGGATCATCAGATACTGAATCACAGCAGGTGCAATAGACACTGTAGTGCCCCACGGAAATATCTCTTACCAGGCTGCTGCAGTAAATGTTGACTGTTAACATCTGCAGCCGCCCCTTTTCAGCTGCCCCACTGCTCCAGAGACCTGCCCTTACCCACACTGAGGACACCTGGCCCAGAAGGTTAGGCCCTGCCCCCCAAGGCTCAGCCAGTGACTAAGAGGGGGCTTTAAAATTAAAAGCCCAGCCCTTTTGCTTCAACATGGAGCTAGCTCCATGCTATAGAGCTCTCCATAGGACCAGGCTGTAGCCAGATTCCAGAGACCACATCCTCGCTTAGTGCCTTCCTCTGCCCTGTCCTGCTTTCCTCACTCCCCCTTTTCCTGAGAGTACTCCTTAATGATTTGCGAGTTCCAGGATCCCTAACTCAGGCTCTGCTTCTGGAGAACCCAACCTGAGACATCTAGTAAGCTCTCAGACTCACTGGGATTTGCAAGCTCGTCTCTTTCATTATTAATTATTTATTAAAATATTAAAATAATAAAATGTATTAATAATGAAGCAATCCACCCTCTGATCTCTGGAATGGATTGAAGTTCTATTTGGGTATTAAACATCTTTTCTTAGATGTCCCCTCCAGGAGGTCATTTGCATTGTTCTAACTACAGCTTCGTTGGTGCAAATCAAAGGTTGGTCCATGTAATCCTTGTGCAGCTGAGATGGCCTGGAGTCAATGAGGCGCATGATAGGATGTAGGTCCGTGCAAGCATGTATAAGAAAAGGATCTGAGGATCTGAGGGGAGGAAAATCAAGAGTAATAGAGTCAGAAGGGCTCAGCTCCTCCATTTATCCCTTGGGTAAAGAGGCAAATCCCTGAACCACAGTTTCCTCTTCTGCAAAATGGGTATGATAGTCACAGTCCAGCCCACTTCTCAGTGTTTCTAGGGGGATCCAATGTGTGGATGCACATGAGCATGCTCTTCTGACTCTTAGCATTATTTTGAGAACTTGCTATGTTCCTAGAACTGTACCAAGTGCTTTGGAGACATAAAACTAATGAGATATGGTCCCTGCCTCCAAAGAGTTAATGTGGCTTCGGTGGAGGAGCTGATACAAATGTGAGGGAGGGGCAGATGGGAGAGAGCACCCCTGCTGTGGGAGTCAGGAGGTAGACTTCGTGGTGGGTGCTCTCCTCACTCACTAGCTATGTGAATGAACAGCTTTCATTTTCTCACTTGTAAAGTGAGGATCTATTTTGGCTATCATATCTAGTTACTGTCTTAGTAGCTTAAGACAACAGTGAATCACTTGTTCTCTCATTCTGTGATTTAGGCAGAATTCAGCAGGGATAACTCTTCTCTGTATCATGTGGCCTCTGCTGGGGCTGGAACACCCAAAAATGGCTTCTTCATTTAGCTTCTCTGGTGACTCAATTGTGCATCTCTTTTTCTCTCTCCCTGTGACCACTCCGTGTAGCTAGCTTAGACCTCCTCATATCATGACAGCCTGACATAGTCAAACTTCTGATATAGCACCTGAGTGAGCACAGAAGCTACCAGGCCTCTTAACACCTGGGCTCGAAAGTCTCTGGACATCACTTATACCACATTCTAGTGGTCAAAGCAGTCACAAGACTATCCTAGATTCAACAGGGAGAGAAATAAATTCAACTTCTTGATGAGACAATGGCAAGGTCACATTGAGAAAGCGATTGTGGAGTGGAGATAATTGTTGTAGCTGCCAATGCAAGTGTGAGCCACTTTAGGATCGTAATAGAATTTACCTCATAACGTCATTGAGATGATTAATTTGATAATGTATGTCAAGCCCTTAGCACAGTGCCTGGCAGTTAGTGAGCAGTCAATAAATGCCATCTATTATTAATTATCATATAAAATTGCTATAATAGCTACTAGTACAGTAACTCCAAGTTGGCATCACCAGCCACCTGGTCACCTCACTTAAACCCAGGGTCCTAACCATTGGGGAAAAAAATGGAAAAATAATTTACACTCTCAACCAGAAAACTTCAGAGTAGTGCCATTCTGTCTATGCCCATAGCCCAGAACAGGCTGCCTCTGTTCCCTGCTGGTTCTAGTAGATTATCGTTCTGGTCACGGGGCCTTGCAGCCAAGGTGAGGAGCACAGATTGGGACAAAATAGGTAACAAACTCTCATACAGTTTTCAGATACAGGAAGTTCATCCAGCCATTCCTGTTATTCTGTCAGAGCGATCTGTGCACACACAAGGCCCCCGCAGCTTATATAAGCTTCAGACAGCCAAGCTGGCGAGACTTTCGGCCCCCTTTGCCAATAAGGCACTATTTGCATTGGAAGCTAGGCACAAATAATGGTGCTTGAGACCTGCTGAACTCTGTGTCCAGTCAACTCAAATCAGGAATGGAATTCAAGGCCAGAAGTCACAGAAGGTCACTATTTTACTTTCTGGAGGATTTTGCAATCCCAGAAAGTCCCTTCAAATCTCCAGAGACCTGCAGAATAAGTGTGCTTCTGTGATCTCAGCTTGTTTGCTGGTGCTGTCTGCGTGGCTGACTGAGCCAGTGTACTTGCCTGCAACAGTAGCCTGATCATAGTCACTCCAGCTCAAGCATCTCTGGGAGAACCAGGCATCCTCTCTTTCTGCCATAATGTCAGGGACTTAGGTGGGGAAGCTGGATTCGGACTTTAAGGGTGAGATGGAAGACACATATAACCTTTGGCTGGGGTTCCAATGAATGCCCTGTTGGCAGTGGGTCCTAAGTCACCATGGAAAAACCTCAGGCCACATGAAGAACTCACCTAGAAGATGGAGCAAAAACTATAGACAGATGATCCAACCGTGATTCTGTGAAGCGTGTTCCCAAATCACAGATGTTACAAATCCAATGTCAACAACAACTAGTCACAAGTTAAGTACTTTCATGCATAAACAAAGAGAGAAAACCCAGGGAGGTTGGAACAAATGATGCTCAAAGTCAAGGTGGCCATTTCTGCATCCTCACTGCTATAGAAAGGTTTCCAGATTCTATTAGTTAAATAATAACCCTAGACCAGATACTGATCTAGATTTATTTTCTAGTGATCACGTTTTGCCTCTTATAAATATGCCTCAGACAGATGAGAATCTGACTCAACATTCTCATATCCTATGGAATTAAGAAGATTTAAATAAGGTAATATGGTGATCCATGCTAACAGCAGTCATGATTCAAGATGGTGTCGTGACAGAATTTTCTGTTTCATCCATAGTGGTCATAAGGGTGTAAAAAGTCTCCTCCTGGAGGACAGGGTACAGAAACTTGTTGCATCAAAATTTAATTCAATCCAATTTAGAAAGATATTTGTTTTTTGTGTGTTATATTAAAAAGCCAGATGCTAAAGTATAGGTGAACCATAGTTAAAACTATTGGAAAATGTTGAACACAGATACAGTTTTTTAAAGGGGTTTATTGATTAGCTCTGTAGTTTTCAGGACATGGTGCATGGGAAGATGAGAAGAAAGAAGTTTCCAGTCTAATGGGGAGACATAGATAGTGCAATAAGTGTAACCATAATACAAGTGCTATCATCCAGGGCAATCTACACATACCAAGAACCTATTCTGTGCCAGGCCCTGACTTGTGTGCTGGGACTACAGAGACTTGGTTCCTTCCAAGTCTCACCATCTGGTGGAAAAGACGTGCCCATAAGCAAGCTTAGCCCACTGTGATAAGTTCAAGAGCATGCATGAGCTTGGGGAGCCATGGAAATACAGAGGGTCTCCTAACCCAGCTTGGTGATGGTAGCGGCAGAGGAGTTTCAAGGAAGGCTTCCTGGGGCAGGTTACCTCTAAGCTTGGACTTGGGGATGAGTAGGAGTGAGTGAGGTGAGGATGCTGGAAGGAATGGAGGAGCATGGTGCAGGTGGAGGAAAGAACACAGACCAAATAAACTCCAAGACTGGAAGTGTTGATGCTGCTGTAGGGTGGGGATAAAGATGGAAACATACTGGGCCAGCTGTGTGTGCCATATCAGGGGCCCTGGGGAGCCATCAATGGAGTTTAAGCAGAGGAGATACAGGCCCAGGTTTGGGCTTTGGACAGAGTACTGTGGCTATTTGTGTGTGGAACTCAGGAAGAGGAGGAACTAGAGGTGGGGAGATGAGCTAAGAGGCCACTGAGGGTACCACAGGTGAGAGGTGACAAGCTCCCAATCCCAGACCATGGTGGCTGCAGAATGTGAAAACTTCTCAAGAGATACAAGAAGCAGGACTCATAATATACAGGAGGCCATGATGGTTGCATTTGGAAGGAAGAGAAGGAAGGAAAGCAGGAACACATCTTTCCCTGGTTTCCAGCTCACATGGGTTCACCCGTTGAAGCATAGACTAGGGGGAGCCAGCAGGTTCAGGAGGCAGCCAGTGGCTTCATTTTGGACACCTTGATGTGAGGTCTGAGTATATGTTTCCAGTAAGAAGTTCAGTGGCAGGTCCATAGCTACTGAAGGAAAGATTGGTGGTGGAATTATCAACGCAGGACGTGGCCTGGAGACGACTCATGAGTATGTTCAAATCATGAGTATGATGGAGACCAACACAGACCCAGGATGCGCTCCTTGGAAAAAAAGCGGGCTCAGGGTGGGCACTGGGAAGCCCAAAGTGAAGGGACGGCAGAGGAAAAGGGATGGGCAAAAATGTGCTACTAAAACACCAAAGGGGAAAGCGCTGAGTATATAAAGGCCAGAGACATTCATTCTAAGGACAGTGATCTGGGAAAGAAAGCTGGAGGAGATGGTGTTCCAGCCAAATGATGGATGGGGTTTCAGCAGCAGAGGGAGAAGGGGTCCCCCGGGGAGTGAAGAAATCAGAAGAAAAAGCCCCGGAGAACAAGATTTCTTTGAAGAAACGCCTGCAAGCTGCCTCTCATTTGTCTCTCTCAATCCCTATCCCTCTTGCCCCGCTCCTCTCTCTCCTCACACCCCCTTTCTTTTCTCCCTCCCTCTCTCCTTCTCTTTTTCGCCTCCCTCACCCTCTCTCCCATCAAAAAGATCAATCAGACTAATCCACAGTCTGACCTGAGTGGGATTCCTTATTTTTCCCACGGAGCCACTAAGAATAACCCCCATCAGTCTCCATAACTGGCAAGGTCCCTGCCACGAGGGGAATAGTCCAGGCTACCACCAGCCCCTGCCACTGCTCTGCACACCTCCCTCTTCAAGGGCCCGGCCTGTTGTCCTCGGGTTTGGACCGGGTTCGCTCTTTTGTAGAAACGAGGCCTGGAGAACACCTTGCACGATGCCAAGCACTGGCATGACATGGAGCTCCAGAACCTGGGCGCTGTGGTCGGCCGGCTGGAGGCGGAGCTCAGGGAAATCCGAGCGGAGGCGGAGCAGCAGCAACAGGAGCGCGCGCATCTGCTGGCCCGCAAGTGCCAGCTGCAGAAGGACGTGGCGTCCTACCACGCCCTGCTGGACAGGGAGGAGAGCGGGTAAGCCTCGCTTCCGCGTCAATTATCCAAGAGATGCATATTCATGGCTTTAAAAATAATTATTTTCCAAACACTGTAGAAGTATTTAAGAAGAAATCACCCCAGACTTCCTCTCACATAGGCACCCATTCCCACAGCCTAGCTGTGTCCTTCCTTTCCTATTCACATACAAATAATATATATAATATATTCACATACTAATACATTTTCTATATGTATGCATATTTATGTATGTATATATACACACATACATTCACATACATGTGTATACCTAGGACGTACATAATAGCTGTTAGGAATGTTTCAGTTGCTTGTAATAGAACCTAATTAATGAGGCTATAAACCAGTGCTCCTGAAACTAATGTGCACTCAAAACCCTGCGCATCTTTTTTTTTTTTTTGGATACAGGGTCTCGTCTCGGTATGTTGCCCAGGCTGGTCTCGACTCAAACCCCTGGGCTCAAGTGATCCTCTCACCTAAGCCTCCAGAATAGCTGGGGTTACAGGTGTGAGCCGTGACACCCCAGCTGGGCATCTTTTTTAAATGCAGATTCTGCTTCAGTACGTCTGGGGTGGGGTCTGAGAGTCTTCCTTTCTAACAAGCTCCCAAGTGATGACTATACTGCTGCTCCACAGACTACACTCTGAGTAGCAAAGATGTGTAAATCATTTATTTAAGAGTCCCAGAAACAGGTGATCTAGGCTGCTCAAAGATTTCATTAAGGACTCAAGCTCTTTTCATCTTTCTAACATACCATGACAACATTGGCTTTTTGTCTTTATCTTTGTCACCCCATGGTTACCATATGCCAGCCACAGATCCAAACATCACATCCTCATTCCTGGCCGGAAGTGGGAGAGAAGAGGCAGCAGCAAAAAAAAAAAAAAAAAAAAAGGCTTTTTCTTTTTTTTTATTGATCATTCTTGGGTGTTTCTCGCAGAGGGGGATTTGGCAGGGTCATAGGACAATAGTGGAGGGAAGGTCAGCAGATAAACAAGTGAACAAAGGTCTCTGGTTTTCCTAGGCAGAGGACCCTGCGGCCTTCCGCAGTGTTTGTGTCCCTGGGTACTTGAGATTAGGGAGTGGTGATGACTCTTAACGAGCATGCTGCCTTCAAGCATCTGTTTAACAAAGCACATCTTGCACCGCCCTTAATCCATTTAACCCTGAGTGGACACAGCACATGTTTCAGAGAGCACAGGGTTGGGGGTAAGGTCACAGGTCAACAGGATCCCAAGGCAGAAGAATTTTTCTTAGTACAGAACAAAATGAAAAGTCAAAAGGCTTTTTCTTGAATGATCCTCTCCTTTAATCAGTGAAGGAAAGACATTTTGAGGCTTGCAGTGGACTGTCCCTTATATCTCATTGGCCAGAACCTGCTTATACTGGCCATACCCATCTGCAAGGGAGGCTAAGAAAGCAACTCTTTAGCTTTTCCAGACTCCATAGTGGAGGCAGGCAAGGGGTTGGGACTAGGAGTTGAGTTAGTCTGCCATAATTACACACACACACTTGCACTCACTCTTTTTTTAATAGATAAGGATTCCAGAGGCATATACATCAGCCTTGGGCCTTAGCTTCCTTGCCAACTCTTTCCAGAAACCCAGGCCCTTATTTTGTATCATAGTTCTATGCCTTCTTATTTCCCTCCAAGACTCCTTGTCTGACATATGTTGAATAAGGAATAGAGACAGCTTAGTGATTGTATCATCCAACCCCTCCTGATTCAAGAGAGAACACAAAGACCCAGAATGGAAAAAGATTTGCGCATGATCACACAGGAGGCGGAGACAGCACTGGGATGGGAGCCCAGGTCTCCTGCTCTCTCCAACTGTGTAACCTCTCTTTATTCAGAAGGCGGGAGAGCCTCAAGGAAGCGACCTAACCACGCCCTGCTTTCAAATGGAAAATATGTCATCCAGCTCCTCTCCAACTGTCTTTTATTGAATTGATTTTTGTTGATTATAAAAGCCAGATGTTCCTAAC
This sequence comes from Homo sapiens, assembly GCF_000001405.40. Lineage (NCBI taxonomy): Eukaryota > Metazoa > Chordata > Mammalia > Primates > Hominidae > Homo > Homo sapiens. Next base: position 133,474,552 of record NC_000003.12, read on the forward strand.
AAAGTATTTTTTTTTCAGATGCCTATGAGCATCTGTATAAACACACAAAGTCAATTTAAACAAACAGCAAGAGCAGTGAGTTAGGCCGAGTTACTTCTTAAGAATCTATGTGCTACGTTCATTTAGTGAGTGCCAAGGCAGACCTGACTCTTGATTATTTTTGTTTATCCTCCAAACCCTGCCAAGACAACCTCATGATCCGTGTTTTAGAGACAGGAAACAAAGCCTCAGAGAGCTTAAGTCATGGCCCAAGGTCTCACAGCAAATAACCATGGAGTAATTATTTAAAACCCAAAACTATCTTGTTCCAAAGGCCAGATTCTTTCATGAGATGGCCCCCTTTCTCGTAATCCTATTGTGATAGAATGACCGATTTTCCTCACCCATTGCTTCTGACTCCTATGTGTTTCCTTTCAGCTGATGGAGAAACTTCCTCTTTTTCATGAAGAAAACACCCTTCCTCAACAGCTGACCCAAGAAGTTGCTTGAGGAGCTTTCTCCTGAGCTCCAGTCCCTGCTGGATTCCCTGGTTAATTCAGCTTGAGCTGAAAAGCTTCCTGGAAGTGGAGAGGATCCTTCTGCTTTAATCTGAGTAGTCTGTAGCTTGAGCAATCTCCCTTGTCCTCCTTCAAATAAATGCTTTGTGCGCAGCGTCCAGTTTGCCCACCTTGTTCAACTCACTATAGGGTCGAGATGGATATCACTTTGTCTGTCTGGCCTTTGCTCACAGAGCTATGCTTGAAGGCTTCTGGAAGGATTCCCTTGAGTGTGACGCCATCTGCCTCCCTAGGGTCACCTGCTCTTGGGTTTGTCAACATAAAAGTGCTGCGGAGGCAAAAGCAGTGCTCATGGCATGCAGGATTGACGCAGTCTGGGACAAAAAACAACACTCTTGCTCGAGAGGGGATTAGTGTGGTGCTTTATCACATGTTTCATAATTACAGGCATCGTGGAGTATTCAGACCTCTTTAATATACTCTGCATGCATATTCATGTGCAGACACACACATTTCACTTGCTATTGGCAGAGCATCTCTCAATCAGTTAAAAGGGAACTTCAATCTAAGCCCAATCTAAACCCATTCAATCTAAGTGGGGGATTAATTACACTGTGGTTGCTCACCCCACTTACAGCCTCAGAATTTTCTTCCAGGGTCCTTTCTCCAGTTCTCTCAGGGCCTAAGCCAGCCAAATATAGTTCATGCATCTGCCACCTACCCAGGCAAGACTCTCTTGCCTTCTGATTAAAATTGAAACCACCACCTGTGTCCTACCACAGGTTCTCAGTGTCTCTAAAACTGAAAGGAAAAAAAAAAAAAAAAAAAGCCCAACTTTAATTTTGTCATTCCTCCCTCAAACTTCTGTTGGTCTACCTATCACACAGAATTACAGACCAAAATATCCAAGCTGAGTCTTTGTGTTTGTGAGCTGCTAATCCAGACAGGGGGATGTATCCAACACTGGTACATTTGAAAACCCCCATACCCGAGGGTCCAAATAACCAAGGCCCACACAAAGAAAAGAACATTTATTTATCCTTAAGGATTGCTTATAAGAGAAGCAAGGTGGCCAGGCGCGGTGGCTCATGCCTGTAATCCCAGCACTTTGGGAGGCCAAGGTGGGCAGATCACAAGGTCAGGAGTTCGAGACCAGCCTGGCGAATATGGTGAAACCCCGTCTCTACTAAAAATACAGACGTTAGCCAGGCTTGGTGGCGGGCGCCTGTAGTCCCAGCTACTCAGGGGGCTGAGGCAGAAGAATCGTTTGAACCCAGGAGGCGGAGGTTGCAGTGAGCCGAGATTGTGCCACTGCACTCCAGCCTGGGCAACAGAGCAAGACTATCACACAAAAAAAATAAATAAATAAAAGGCAAGATATATGGTATCCTGGTTGGAATTGCTACAACTGGTTTTCCTTTTTGGCCTGCAAGAGCAAAGGAATTGTATTAAAGATCACATGAGCAGAACCACTATTTACAATGTGCATAGCCCCTTGACATAGGTCAGTTTGTTGTTTGAGACATGGAAATAGGCAAGACACCCTAAAACTACATTTTAGCAAAGTATCCATCTCCATAGCTGCACACTATGGGGCTGCCCATAATTGAACCGCCTGGGTACAAGAGTCTTGCCAGAAAACAAAGTGGGTGGCTGGCCTTGCTATGTTGGATGCACAAGACACTGACGTCTGTTTCTTTTCTGTCTTTCTTGTTACTATTAATTTTTGGTCCCTCAGGCAAGACCTAAATTCCTAACCTAAATGTAGCTGGAGGCTTCAAAGGTGACAGTCCCCAAAAGGTCAGCCATCAAAAGGAGGTACTTCTATGACCGAATGGCCATGCAGTTTTTAGAACCTGGAAGTCGTTTCAGCCACTGGAAAGACGGGAGAATGTATCTGCGCATCCTCCTGAGTTTCCACCAGACAGCATGCTGTGCAGGGCTGCACACACTTGGTCTCCTCCGCACCATCATCTCAAAGAGCAGCTGCCGTAAATCATTCAGTTAATCACCCTTTGGCAGGGAGAGCCGTGGCAGACTGGTGCTTCCAGTTCCCAGCACAGGCTCTTGCTGTTTCTAATGAGGCTTCATTAACAGGTATGAGAAGGCACTGCTGGCCCCCCAACTCTGCCAGGGCCTCGTTTAAATCAGGCTTCCTCTCACAACATCCCAGTACAATTACGCTTTGGCAGTGGTTCACTGACAGGTGGCAGGGGAGGCTGCTGCTTGTATTGGTGTCAAGGACAGAGCATTTGTTCTGGAGCAGACCAGAGCAGGGCTCCCAATGGACACCTCCTGAAACACAACCGAGCTCTATTTCCACACCAGGCAACTCCACTGGCCTCTGGCCTAGCTTCTGAAGGGCTGTGTGAACTCCCAATGGGATTGCTAGAGCATCCATGGCTTTCAGATTCAACATTCTTTTATATCAAGATCCTTAAATCTTACCTTCATGATCATCTGTAACACTTCTTAGCATGTACTGGTGCCCAGACATTTTGATGCACTTTGGGGATACCAATAAAAAGAAGGCCCAGTTTCTGCCCTCATGGGTTTACAGCCTTGGTGAGTGCAGGTGTGCTCACTGAAGGATCAACAATGCAAAGGATAAGAAAAGCAAAGCAGACAGAGCAGCACATTACAGTTTTCACAACCCCTTCATAGATTCATTTTGTCATCAAAGGTATAAAAATAGACATCTGAGTCTGACCTCACTTGGTTTTCAGCAAGTTGATTTAGCAAGAACCATCAAGCACCATGCCTGTCTCTGATTGTCTCCACACACCCCATAGATATTATTTTATAAACCCTTACATTGTCTTGCTTGTTTTGAGAAAAGGATGGGTTGTTTCTTTGGAGACAAATCTAGAATCTTATCTGGGATTGCCAGACTTAGGAAATAAAAATATAGAATGCCCAGTTTAATTTAAATTTCAGATAAAAAAAGGAAGAGGTTTTTAGTATAAGTATGTCCCACATGTTGCATGAGACATACTTATGCTAAAACATTAGCTTGCAGCTGTAATAATATCAGACAGAAGCACTCCATACTTCGTATTCCCCACATAGTTATCTGACATCAAGCAATTCATAAAGGTTTGCCTAGCACTTCCAGTTGGGACATCCCAATACACAAGAAGGGGAAAGGATGACCCAGACTGTGTCTTTACCCATTCTTGATTGGAAACTCAGTCCCCTGACACAAAAGCACCATCGTGTTTGAGAAATTAGTCTGCTAGTTTAGTGAAGAACTAAAGCAAACTGTTTTCTCAGCTGAAGTAACTGGTTTGATTGGATCATATCGACTGGTTATTTTGAACAAAAGGTTGAGCAGGAACAGGAATAGATCCCAGCATAGACATGTGGTGTTGCAGAGTCGACAGAGTTTTTGCTATCATGCCCAAGAGGAAATATTCCATTTTCTCCTGCTCTGAGAGTGGAAGGTAATTTGCACCACAGGGAGTCCAGTTTTCAGTGTAATTCTGGGATTGGACCAAAAAACATGTTGCATCTTAAAGAAAGGGCTTTGCAAAATGGATGAGCAAAAACTACTAAATTTCTTTGGACAAGTCATGCATACCTTGTTTTTGTTTTGTTTTTATCTACAGCTAAAGTTCTTACTGACATCCTAGACAGGAAAAGTGTATAAATGGGGTTCACAACTTTAAACTAAAAAGACAAAGGCAAACCTGACAAGATGATTAAGACAAGTTGTCACTAACTCCCTGGATGATAATTAATGGTGTTGTGGTTGCTTTGAGAAGAAAACAAAAGGAGAGGGGACAGGAAATCAATAGACTAGTGGTAGGTTCAGCCCCTCATTGTTTAGTACCAGCAACCAAAAGAAAAGAAGCAAGAGAAACACGTAGGGTAATAAATTGTCCTGAGGAAGTGAAATAGTGGGTTTACACATTATTTTGGGAATTCAGTCTTAGCAGTTCACCAGAGCAACAATCATGCTGAGTAGTGGAAAGCTCCCTCCAAAACTAAATCCTTTTCCTCAATAAATATTTATGCAGTCCCTGTTATATGTCAATGCCATGTTAGAGGCCAAGAATATGAAGATGTACGAAATGTGAACCTGCCCTTAAATAATCTAGATTAGCACTGTCCAATAGAAACAGAATGCAAACTACATATGTAATTTTAATTTTTCTAATAGCCATATCTCAAAAAGGGAAAAATAAACAGGTGAAATTAATTTTAATATATTTTAATCATCTTGTTATGTCCAAAATTCTATTATTTCATAATGTAATCAATATTTTTAAATTATTGAGAGTTTTATATTTTTGGTACTAAGTTTGAAATCTGGCTTATGTTTTACCCTAATAGCCCATCTCAATTCACATACTAAATCTTCATCAGAAATACTTGAGCTATATTTAAATTTCATAAAATTTATAGTTGAAAAAGTAAATTGACGTACCCAAGCTGTTCCAAACATACTTAAAAGTTTTCCAATAACTGAATTTAAGATCACAAGATTTGTTTTCCTTTGATCTTCATATCCACATTGACATAAAGTGGTTCATCTTTTTCAGAAGAGTTCGTGTGACTTTGAAGCAAAAGCACATCAGTTTCAAAACCACACCTGTCTAAGTTAAGTAAATTCATTAAGTCTTGCATCTCATTCAGTATTTATTAACATCATGTTCAAGGAGGTATTACATATATTGAGAATCAACTCTAAATGTATCAACATAAAAAATCCCATTTCAAATTTTTCTTATAAGTTTTCAGGACAAATATTTTACACAGCTTAAGATTTTAATTAAATTTTTAATTAATTAAAATTAAATAACACTTAAAATTCAGTTCTTCCGTCACACTAGTCATATTTCAAGAGCTCAATAGCCACATGTGGCCAGTGGCTACCACAATGGACAGCATAGATTAAAGTTGACTAGAGGTGGGTGGGATCTACAATGGATTTGACCAGCTTGTGAAAACAATCGAGGTCATATTTGCACGATAATTTGTGAGAAGTCCTGCTTTCCCACCAATTTTCCTCACCAAATACAACTGAAATTCCTGGCAGGTGAGCGTCCCACCTAGAAACAGAGTGGCTACATTCCAACAGTTTTATAGGCCTCCTAATTGGCCCACGTAATCCTTCTACTGCTGAAATTCCTGGCAGGTGAGCGTCCCACCTAGAAACAGAGTGGCTACATTCCAACAGTTTTATAGGCCTCCTAATTGGCCCACGTAATCCTTCTACTGCACTGCACTGCTTCTCATAACTAGCTCTTTTGGAGGGAGTTTCCTCTACCAGAGACCTTGAGCCTCCCCTGACACAGGCCTTTTGTTTTCTTTCATACCCCTCTCCTTTCCTTAATCTCCTAACCACATAAGCCCTGGGAGAAGTGAGCTGAATCAAAGAGGCCAGCACGGCCTAACAGCCAGCCCCCACCTGCTCAGTCAGACTATTCTGCCAGTCTCTTCTCTCCCTCATGGTGATTTTCTCTCCAAGGTCTCATAGGCTGTCTCTCAATCTAGCTTCAGGACCCACCTCAAATTACATCAGTTCTTCTGACAGCTCTGAACCCTATCTCTGGGCTGAATTCTCATTCCTGTTTCAGCCCCATGCAAATCAAGGCAAGTGACCAGGCATCTGTTTCAACATCCCCAGACACTTTCTGAGCTTTTTTTAAACATCATACACAAATCACTCAATATAATCCATCACATAAACAGAACCAATGACAAAAACCACATGATTATCTCAATAGATGCAGAAAAGGCCTTTGACAAAATTCAACACCCCTTCACGCTAAAAACTCTCAATAAACTAGGTATTGATGGAATGTATCTCAAAAAAATAAGAGCTATTTATGACAAACCCACAACCAATATCATTCTGAATGGGCAAAAACTGGAAGCATTCCCTTTGAAAACCGGCACAAGACAAGGATGCCCTCTCTCACCACTCCTATTCAACATAGTGTTGGAAGTTCTGGCCAGGGCAATCAGACAAGAGGAAGAAATAAAGGGTATTCAATTAGGAAAAGAGGAAGTCAAATTGTCCCTGTTTGCAGATGACATGATTGTATATTTAGAAAACCCCATCGTCTCAGCCCAAAATCTCCTCAAGCTGATAAGCAACTTCAGCAAAGTCTCAGGATACAAAATCAATGTGCAAAAATCACAAGCATTCCTATACACCAATAAAGAGAAACAGAGAGCCAAATCATGAGTGAACTCCCATTCACAATTGCTACAAAGAGAATAAAATACCTAGGAATCCAACTTATAAGGGATGTGAAGGATCTCTTCAAGGAGAACTACAAACCACTGCTCAATGAAATAAAAGAGGACACAAACAAATGGAAGAACATTCCATGCTCATATATAGGAAGAATCAATATCGTGAAAATGGCCATACTGCCCAAGGTAATTTATAGATTCAATGCCATCCCCATCAAGCTACCAATGACTTTCTTCACAGAATTGCAAAAAGCTACTTTAAAGTTCATATGGAACCAAAAAAGAGCCTGCATTGCCAAGACAATCAAAAAGAACAAAGCTAGAGGCATCACGCTACCTGACTTCAAACTGTACTACAAGTCTACAGTAACCAAAACAGCATGGCACTGGTACCAAAACAGATATATAGACCAATGGAACACAACAAAGGCCTCAGAAATAACACCACACATCTACAACCATCTGATGTTTGACAAACCTGACAAAAAGAAGAAATGGGGAAAGGATTCCCTGTTGAATAAATGGTGCTGGGAAAACTGGCTAGCCATATGCAGTAAGCTGAAACTGGATCCCTTCCTTACACCTTATACAAAAATTAATTCAAGATGGATTAAAGACTTAAATGTTAGACCTAAAACCATAAAAACCCTAGAAGAAAACCTACACAATACCATTCAGGACATAGGCATGGGCAAGGACTTCATGACTAAAACACCAAAAGCAATGGCAACAAAAGCCAAAATTGACAAATGGGATCTAATTGAACTAAAGAGCTTCTGCATGGCAAAAGAAACTACCACCAAAGTGAACAGGCAACCTACAGAATGGGAGAAAAGTTTTGCAATCTACCCATCTGATAAAGGGCTAATATCCAGAATCTACAAAGGACTTAAACAAATTTACAAGAAAAAACAAACAACCCCATCAAAAAGTGGGCAAAGGATATGAACAGACACTTCTCAAAAGAAGACATTTATGCAGCCAACAGACACATGAAAAAATGTTCATCATCACTAGTCATCAGAGAAATGCAAATCAAAACCACAATGAGATACCATCTCACACCAGTTAGAATGGCGATCATTAAAAAGTCAGGAAACAACAGATGCTGGAGAGGATGTGGATAAATAGGAATGCTTTTACACTGTTGGGAGTGTAAATCAGTTCAACCATTGTGGAAGACAGTGTGGCAATTCCTCAAGGATCTAGAACTAGAACTACTATTTGATCCAGCGATCCCATTACTGGGTATATACCCAAAGGATTATAAATCATGCTACTGTAAAGACACATGCACACGTATGTTTATTGCAGCACTATTCACAATAGCAAAGACTTGGAACCAACCCAAATGTCCATCAATGATAGACTGGATAAAGAAAATGTGGCACATATGCCATGGAATACTATGCAGCCATAAAAAAGGATGAGTTCATGTCCTTTGCAGAGACATGGATGAAGCTGGAAACCATCATTCTCAGCAAACTATCACAAAGACAGAAAACCAAACGCTTCATGTTCTCACTCATAGGTGGGAACTGAACAATGAGAACACTTGGACACAGGGCGGGGAACATCACACACCAGGACCTGTTGGGGTGGGGGGCGCTGGGGGAGGGATAGCATCAGGAGAAATACCTAATGTAAATGACGAGTTGATGGGTGCGCAAACCAACATGGCACATGTATACCTATGTAACAAACCTGCACATTGTGCACATGTACCCTAGAACTTAATTTTAAAAAATTGTTTTAATTGAGGTAAAATACACATACATAATTTACCATCTTTACCATTTTTTTTCTTTTTTTTTTTTTTTTTTTTTTTGAGACGGAGTCTCGCCCCGTCGCCCAGGCTGGAGTGCGGTGGCGCCATCTCGGCTCACTGCAAGCTCTGCCTCACTGGTTCAAGCCATTCTCCTGCCTCAGCCTCCTGAGTAGCCGGGACTACAGGCGCCCTCCACCACACCGGCTAATTTTTTGTATTTTTAGTAGAGAGAGGGTTTCACTGTGTTAGCCAGGATGGTCTCGATCTCCTGACCTCATGATCCACCCATCTTGGCCTCCCAAAGTGCTGGAATTACAAGCATGAGCCACCACACCCGGCCCCATCTTTATCATTTTTAAGTGTATACTTCAGTGGTAATAAATACATTTGTATTCTCTTTTTTTCCCTTCATTCCCCTTCTCCTGTACCCTTCTTGGTCTCTGGTAACCACCAGTCTATTCTCTATCTTCATGAGACCCATAGTTTTAGCTCCCACATATGAGTGAGAACATGACATGTTTGTCTTTCTGTGCCTGGCTTATTTTACTTAACATAATTTCTTCCACTTCCATCCACGTTGTTGCAAATGACAGGATTTCATTCTTATTATGGCTGAATAATATTCCATTGCATATATACCACATTTTCTTTATCCATTCATCCACTGATGGGCACTTAAGTTGACTACATATTTTGGAAGGTTTTTTTTGTTTTTTTTTTTTTGAGATAGAGTGGCACTTTGTTGCCCAGGCTGGAGTGCAGTGGTATGATCTCAGCTCACTGCAACCTCCGCCTCCCAGGTTCAAGCAATTCTCCTGCCTCAGCCTCCCATGTAGCTGGGAGGTGTGTGCCACCATGCCCAGTTAATTTTTGTATTTTTAGTGGACCCGGGGTTTCACCATGCTGGCCAGGCTGGTCTCGAACTCCTGACCTCAAGTGATCCGTCTGCCTTGGCCTCCTAAAGTGCTGAGATTACAAGCATGTGCCACCAACCCAGCCTGACTACATATTTTGACTAATGTGAATGATACTATAATAAACAGAGTGCATATATCTCTTCAATACACTGATTCCCTTCCGTTGGGGTATATATCTCTAGCAGTGGAATTGCTGGATCAAATTTTAGTTTTTTGAAGAACTTTCATACTGTTCTCCATAATGGCTGTACTAATTTACATTCCCACAAGCAGTGTACCAAGGTTCCCCTGTGTCCACATCCTCTCCAGCATTTGTTATTGCCTGTCTTTTTGATACAAGCTTTTAACTGGGGTAAGGTGATATCTCATTGTGGTTTTGATTTGCATTTCCCTGATGATTAGTGATGTTGAGTATTTTTTCATATACCTGTTGGCTATTTGTATGTATACTTCTGAGAAATATCTATTCAGATCTTTTGCCTATTTTTAAATTGGATGATTTGTGTTTCTGCTATTGAGTTGTTTGAGCTCCTTATATATTCCTGTTGTTAATCCCTTGTCAGATGGATGGTTTGCAAATATTTTCTCCCATTCTGTGGGCTGTCTCTTCACTTTGTTAATTGTTTCCTTTGCTGTGCTTTTTAGCTTCATGAAATCCCAATTGTCTATTTTTGCTTTGGTTGCCTGTGCTTTGGAAGTCTTACACAAAAAATATTTGCCCAGCTCAATGTCCTGGAACATTTCCCAGTGTTTTCTTCTAGTACTTTCATAGCTTTAGGTCTTTCATTTAAGTCTTTAAACCATCTGATTTTATTTTTGTTTATGGTAAGAGACAGTGGTCTAGTTTCATTCTTCTGCATATAATTAGCCAGTTTTCCCAGCACCATTTATTGAAGAAGCTGTCCTCACTCTATTGTGTATTCTTAGTGCCTTTGTTAAAGATGAGTTGGTTGTAAATGAATTGATTTATATCTTGGTTCTCTATTCTGTTCTATTGATTTGTGTGTCTGCTTTTTTGCCAGTGCCATGCTGTTTTGATTACTATAGCTTTGTAGTGAATTTTGAAGTCAGGTAGTGTGATGCCTCCAGCTTTGTTCTTTTTGCTCACTATTGCCTTGGTTATTTGGGGTCTTTTGTGGTTTCATATATATTTTAGGCTTTTTTTCTATTTCTGTGAAGAATGTTATTGCTATTCTGATAGGGATTTCATTAAACCTGTAAATTGCTTTGGGTAGTACTGTTATTTTAACAATATTAATTCTTCCAATCCATTAGCATGGAATATCTTTCCATTTTTTTGTGTCCTCTCCTATTTTTTTCAGAGTTTTATAGTCTTCCTTATATAGATCTTTTACTTTGTTAGACTGATTTCTAGATATTTTATATTTTTGTACCTTGTAAATGGGATTGCTTTCTTGATTTCTGTTTCAGATTGTTTGCTGTTGGTGTATATAAATGCTACTGATTTTTGTGTGTTAATTTTGTATCCTGCAACTTTGCTGAATTTGTTTATCAGTTCCAGTAGTTTTTTGGTGGGGCCTTTAGGTATTTCTAGGTATAAAATCAAGTCATCTATGAACAAGACCAATTTGATTTATTTCTTTCCAGTTTGGATGCCCTTTAGTTTATGTTCTTGCCTAATTGCTCTGGCCAGGACTTCCAGTGTTATGTTGAATAACCATACTAAAAGTGGGCATCCAGCCAGGCACAGTGGCTCACACCTTTAATACCAGCAGTTTGGGAGGCTAAGGCAGGAGGATCATTTGAGCACAGGAGTTTGAGACCAGCCTGGGCAACATAAGGAGACCCCATCTCTATAAAATAAAATTTAAAAAAATTAGCTGGATGTGGTGTATCACACCTGTGATCCCAGCTACTTGTGTGTCACAGGATCCTTGGGGCATTGCTTTTCTCCCATCCAAGTATTAACCAGGCCTGACCCTGCTTAGCTTCCAAGACCAGACAAGATCAGGCCCCTGGCCGGGCGCCGTGGCTCACGCCTGTAATCCCAGCACTTTGGGAGGCCGAGGCGGGCGGATCACGAGGTCAGGAGATCGAGACCATCCTGGCTAACACGGTGAAACCCCGTCTCTACTAAAAATACAAAAAAATTAGCCGGGTGCAGTGGTGAGCGCCTGTAGTCCCAGCTACTCGGGAGGCTGAGGCAGGAGAATGGCGTGAACCTGGGAGGCGGAGCTTGCAGTGAGCCGAGATCGCGCCACTGCACTCCAGCCTAGGCGACAGAGAGAGACTCCGTCTCAAAAAAAAAAAAAAAAAAAAAAAAAAAAAGATCAGGCCCCTTCAGGGTTGTACGCCCATAGATGGGGTGTCACTTTTCTGGCCAGAAATCTCTGTGGTCAGTGGCATCTTTGCTCAAGCTTTGCTCAGGCCCGCTGGGCTCATACCACCTATTCAGCCTGGCAGGCTGTGCTCAGCTCACGCAACTGGCCTGATTCCCATTCCAGCCAAGGGTGAGCCAGGCATGGAGTGGCAAGGGGTGTGTGAGCAAGCAAGTGTGGGGTCTGGCCACTTCTCACAGCCAGGCACACTGGCTGTGGTGGGGTGGGCAGCTCCAGGTGCTGGCACAGGTGCTGGCTCCCTGCGAGTCTGCAGCTGGACCAGGCATACTGCAAGCAGCTTCTACAGCTGTCATCAGGAAACGCTGTGGTGCCCAGAAGCTTGGAGATGCCAGTAACTGCAGAGCCCCAAATAGGGTGTCACAGCCCTGGTTCGGGGAGCTCCTAGGTCTGGGCTCCCCAAAGGGCCACAGCTCTTCTCTCCTTCTCTCTTTTCTCCTTCTTATCACCTGCAATGTGGTGAGCAATGGGTGTGTTTCAGCCCTGTTTGTGTTACAGCTCTTTCAGCCCTGGTACCCCAAGTCCCACGTCCAGGAAGAATGAGGTATGCGGGCAAGTGGAGGGTGAGCAAGGCAAAATGGTGTTTTACTGAGCCACAGAACAGCTCAGAGGAGACCCACAGTGGGTAGCTCTTCTCTGAAGGCAGGTCATCCTGATGAGAGTCCAGCTCTCAGCAGAGAGGAGACCCACAGTGGGTAGCTCCTCTCCGCAGGCAGATCATCTTGATGTCTGCCGAAGTCTGGCTGAGTCCAGGGTTTTTATGGTCTTCAAAGGGGAGGAATGATCAGCAATGCACGCTGATTGGCCTATGGGCGGCCATGGGTGGGGAGAGGCTGGGCAGCAGAAGCAGGCATTTCCAAGCCTGTGAGGGCTTCCCTGGCCCCCAAGACTGCAGGAATGCCCGAGTCTGCAGCCACAGCTGGGCAGCCTCACTTTGCTCCACAATCATAGTGGGTGCCAGGAGCAGAGAGAGGCCAGGCAGCAGGAGCAGGCATTCCCAAGCCTATGGGGCCATGGGGGACTTCCTGGCCCCCGAGAGTGCAGGAATGCCTAGGTCTGCAGGGCAGCTGGGCAGTTGCAGCTGCACCTGGGAGGGTGGGGCTCCTGTCTCTCCAACCAGGAATGAGTCCTGGCTTCCTCCTGTTCCCAGCTTCCACCGGCTCCTGCCAGCTTCCACCGGCTCTTGCCAGCTTCCTGGAGTACACAGCCCTGGTGTGCCTCCCCTACTGCAGCCAGCGTCTTTGCAGCAGCTGCTCCAGATAAGCTGCCACTGCCATCACTTGGAAGGTTGAGGTGGGAGAGATTGCTTGAGCCCAGGAAGTGGGGACTGTAGGGAGCCATGATCATGCCATTACACTCCAGCCTGGGTGACAGATCGAGATCCTGTTTTTAAAAATATAAATAAGGCCAGACACGGTGGCTCACGCCTGTAATCCCAGCACTTTGGGAGGTCGAGACTGGTGGATCACAAGGTCAGGAGTTCGAGAACAGCCTGGCCAACATGGTAAAACCCCGTCTCTACTTAAAATCTAAAAATTAGCCAGGTGTAGTGGCAGGCGCCTGTCATCCCAGCTACACAGGAGGCTGAGGCAGGAGAATTGCTTGAACCCTGGAGGTGGAGGTTGCAGTGAGCTGAGACTGCACCACTGCACTCCAGCCTGGGGAACAGAGCAAGACTCTGTCTCAAAAATAATAATAATAAAAAATAAATAATAAATAAAAGTGAGCATCCTTCCTGATTTTTAAGAAACTCCCTGTCAGTAATTGTTAGGGGGCTAATCTTCTCAGGTTACAAGACAGACCTCTAGGGGGCAGTGTTGTCCAAACTCCACAGGCCAGCCTGCTGGTCTCAGGGGGACCCATCTTGAGTACCCTATTATGTACTATGTTCATGGAACCTAAGGCATCATTGATTAATAGAGATACCATTACTGGATGTGCCACTAAAAATGAAACTACTCCAGATAGAAGTCTATTAGACCCCAGATAAAGCTGAGACACTAAAGGCCTCTGTGGAGGGGGTCCATGAGAAATATACAGAAAAAAGAGAAAGAAAGGGACATGCATAGTAGGACAGCAAGAGAAGTTGCATGTTTCAATTTTGCCATGGATGGAGGAAGTAAAATCTGCCCGTATAATTTGAATCAAAAGTTGGTTCTCATGCAGTTTTCTGGTACTACTTGTGCCATCAAAAAAACCTCAGAGAATTTAATGTACAAATGCACCTCAACTTATGATGATGTTATGTCCTGATAAACCATCATAAGGTGACTATATCATAAGTCAACTTTATCCAGTTGTAAGTTGAGAAGCACACTGAATGCATATTGTTTTCACACTATCACAAAGTTGGAAAATCATAAGCTGAAACATCGTAAAGTTAGGGACCACCTGTAGTTTCACATTATTATGAGTTCCTTGGCAAGGGTAGAACCCAAAGCTTATATAATTTGATGCCCTCTTTTAAAAAAGAAATACAAAATATCTTACTCTTGCAAATTTTATAAAAACCTATGATGAGGCTGAGTGTGGTGGTTCACATCTGTGATCCCAGCGCTTTGGGAGGCTGAGACAGGCAGATCACTTGAGGCCAGGAATTTGAGACCATCCTGGCCAACATGGCAAAACTGCATCTCTCTACTAAAAATACAAAGAAAATTAGCTGGGTGTGGTGGCACGTGCCTCAGCTACTCTGGAGTCTGAAGCATGGGAATCACTTCAACTTGGGAGGCAGAGTTTGCAGTGAGCTGAGATAGCAACACTGCACTCCAACCTGGGCAACAGATTGAGACTGTCTCAGAAAAAAAATATGTAATTTGATCCCATGAAGCTGTGAGGTGGAACCCTTTCAGGACCTTGGAAGGGCCATGCAAATGAGGTGTCCTGAAGCTTTACTCTCATTGGTAACTCAGCCTGTGCCCCAAGTGACAGGCAGAAGCAAAGAAAAATCCTCTACAAATGAACACAATTTTAATCGAAACAACAGCAATCACAACATACCATCAACTATTATCATATCCTGACTTCAGAGATGTTAAAGTACACAACAGTATGCTTCTTAGGAGCAATGAAATATGATATTTCAAAAAGAAAAAAGATAATGTAAATTTTGACCCTGACTTGGCTAAGACAATAACACATGACAACAACAATGATGATAGCTATCATTTATCAAGCTCCTACAGTGTGCCAGCCTTCTCACAAACTTTTTTTCTGCTCCTCACATGAGCTTAATGCCACCACCAAAGACTTGAAAGATACAAGGTAGTGATTCCTACCAAATCCACAATTAACTCACTTGTTTGATCAGTGTACAAATCAAGTAGGTCATAGAAAATGACCACAGATCATCACGGACTAATCCAGTGGTGAGGTGAATCACAACCAGAATTGCAGAGACGGTATTTTTACTGGAGCAAATCCACACAGTCCCTGGCACCTGGGCCACTATTGACCTGGCAAATGCTTTATCCTGCCCACCCCCACCTTAATCCTCTTCTGCCCTGTTGTGGCAGGGACAGCAGTATACTTTTACTGTCCTGCCTCCGGGCTATGTCGGCTTGCCTGCACTTAGTCAGAATGCAATCTGGAGGGACCCAGAAGCCCAAGCTGATCCATTACATATCTTTATCATGCTAATTGGACCTGGAGAGCCCCAAAGAGCTAGCACCTAAATGCCTTAGTAAAGTACCTGCAATGCCAGAAAATGGGAGATAAAGCCTGACAATATTCAGGAGTCTGCCACATGCGTGAAGCCTCTAGAGTCCAGTGGTCTGGGCTTTGTTGGGATAGACCTTCTAACATGAGATTCAAGTTGTACTTTACACCAGAAAGAGCCATGAAGAAAAAGATATGAAGCTTAATTTTCAGAAGTAACACAAACCAGATTTGAGTATCTGTTGCTGTGAACCACTAACTCAAGTAACCCTTAAGGGTACAAGGTTTTTGGCTTTTGTTTTTGAATTTTTATTTTAACATAATTTCAGGCTTACAGAGCAGTTGAAAGAATAGTTGAAGAATTGCCATATACCCTTCACTCAGATTTCACAAATATTAACATTTTCATAGGCAGACAGAAGCAAATTATTTTTAAGTTGAAGTAGTTAAGTTTCTTTTATACTTATTTAGTTCTAGGAATTTTGACTGATAGACATTGACTGGTGGGGGAGGTGGAGGTTGCTGGCTGACCAAGGTGATCTGTGGTGGTTGGTGGCATGTTGGTGGCTAAAGCAGGCAATGTGCAGTGTGGTAAGGATGTGTCATAGTGACCACCTGGATGAGCCAGCAGGGCCAGGTATAATGAAACATTGCCATGGAGTTTCTTCCCCCAGATACAGTGTGGCCCAGGTGGATGCCACGGTGCCACCCTCTGGTGCTGAGGAGCCCACACTGTGCGGAGCCTGCCCTGCCTATGCACCGGTGCCGATGACCCAGCCAGGCCTGATTTAGCCCCACCAGGCAGGCAGCAATGGCCCCTCTCAAGCATGGAGCTCCCTCCCTGAGACAGGAAGCTATTGGAGAACTGGGCTTTGAAGCCATCAACTCACAGCTAACTGTAGAGAGCAAAGATACCCACATTATCAGCAGGATTGAGAGCTACTCACGTAAGATAGCAGGAGACGACAAACACTGTTCTGACAGGAGGGCGGCCCACATACTGAAGGCTCTCTCCCCATCCCAGACCTCAGGCCTCAGCCCCAGCAGCCTGAGCAAGAACCAAGGTGGCAAGGACAAGGGCCCCCCTCAGGGACAAGTGCAATTGCAAGACCCTCTTCCACTTGATTGTCATGCTCAGCGAGTCCTTTCAGGCCTGACTATGACCTCAGCACAGCCCGCAGCCATGGGTTCAGCCGGAAGCCCAGCCTCAGGTGGGTGGTGAATGCAGTCAACCGCAGTCTGTTCTCAGCTGCGTGGGGGGACATCAAGGTCCTAGAACACAGCTGTGGAACACAGTGGATGAGGAGATCCACCTGGCTTAATGAGACACCCACAGCTATAACCCAGACATGGACCCAGATGCCTTCAGAGAAGAAGATACCCTCTGGTCCTTCAACTACTTCTTCTACAACAAAGGGCTCAAGCAAATTGTTTTCTTCAGCCACCGCTCCATTAGCAGCTCCACCTGCACACCCTCAGAGGCAGGCAACGAGATGGACCTGGAACTGGGGGAAGAGGAGGAAGAGAAAGGAAGCAGAGGTGGAGGCAGTGAGGGTGGGGCCGAAGAGACCAGACCAAGGAGGACAGGTTCCCAGTGATTTGTATGTGATGAGGAGTAGCACAGGCCCCAGCTTCATCCAGCTTCAACCAATGCCTGGACCTGCCCACCTGAGAGGCCCTGAGGCCTCCCCAGCTGCAGGCCAGACCCTGGTGCTGTCAGAGTCTCAGCACTGCCCAAGGCCACACCTGCCTGGCCCTTTGGCTCCAGCCTGTAGGTGTCCACTCAACCCCATAGGCTTCTGCTGCCCACGCTGTGGCTGGACTAGACAGCACAGGACCTGCTGCAAAGAGTAACCACCTTGCCCAAACGAACTACCACAGGCAGGGACAGCTAGACCACAGAGTTTATTTTTGTATTTCTGCTGGGCCTGCACACTCCAGCCCAAAGGGCTTATAGCCAGAGGCCCCAGAGGTCATGAGCTCTAGTCTTGGGTCAGCTCTTGGCACCCACCTGTACCCCCACCTCACCCATTTGGCTGCATGCACTGAGTGTCACTTTGCTGCAGCTCATTGCTTTCCAATAAAAATGTTTGTGACTTAAAAAAAATTGAGACAAAAATTTAAAAATTTTATAACATGCTCATGAATGCTGGCAACCTCACCTCCACCAGCACCCCACCCCAGCTGCCACCACCGCCAGTACAAGTGCAACACCAGCAACCCCACGGCTGCCAGTGCCCCAGCCCCCATTTTCCCCCCTACCAATGCACCACCACCACCACTGGCATGAGCACATGCAGGAACACCGCCTCCCCATTTCTGCTGGAACCCCTCCCCAGCTAACACGTGTGCACCCCGCCATGCTGCTGCAGCTGCTGCCATACATCAGTAAGCACAGATCTCACTGACACCACCCTGACCAAGTGCTTTGGCTAGCATCTTCCATCACAGTGCTGTGGCCAGCAGACTGGGAACAACTCAGCCCCTCCAGCAGAATAGATTCCTAACCTTGAGGGTTCAGATAGCACAGCCAGGCGCCCAGCACCAGCCCTCCCAGAGTTAGAGCACGCAGCCCAGGAGTGCTGAGCTGAGTCTGGGCCCCCTAAAATCTTCCAGAAATGAAGCAAGTCAACCAAACCCACCATATACCACAATCAAACCAAGATCATCAAAGAAGATAAAAGCAGAAAACCTCTCCAAAGCACATCAACTTCAAAAATTGAAGGAACATCAGCCCACACAGATGAGAAAGAACTAGTGTGAGAACTCTGGCAACTCAAAAACCAGAGTGTCTTCTTACCTCCAAACCACCACACTAATTCTCTAGCAATCGTCCCTAGCCAGCCTGAAATGGCTGAAATGACAGACATAGAATTCAGAAAATGGATAGGAATGAAGATCATTGAGATTCAGGAGAAAGTTGCAACCCCATCCAAGGAATCAATAAGATGCTACAGGAGATGAAGGATGAAATGGCTATTTTAAGAAAAAAATAAACTGATCCGATAGACCTAAAAAACTCACTTCAAGAATTTAGTAATACAATCTCAAGTATTAATAGTAGAATAGACCAAACTGAGGAAACACTCTCAGAGCTTGAAGACCGTTCTCCAAAATAACTCAGTCAGACAAAAATAAAGAAAAAAAGAATTTAAAAGTATGAATAAAACCTCCGAGAAATACAGGTTATGTAAAGAGACCAGATCTACAGTTCACTGGCATCCCTGAAAGAGAAGGAGAGAAAGCAAGCTACTTGGAAAACATATTTGAGGATATTGCCGGTGAATATTTCCCCAACCTTGCTAGAGGCCAACATTCAAAGGCAGGAAATGCAGAGAACCCCTGCCAGACGCTATAAAAGATCACTATCCCCAAGACACATAGTCATCAGATTCTGTAAGGTCGAAATAAAGAAAAAGTTTTAAAGGCAGCTAGAGAGAAACAGCAGGTCACCTACAAAGGAAACACCATTAGGCTAACAGCAGGCCTTTCAGTAGAAACTATACAACCAGAAAAGATGGGGGGGGCCTATATTCAGCATTTTTTTTTTTAAAGAAATTCCGGCCAGGTGCAGTGACTCACACCTGTAATCCCAGCACTTTGGGAGGCCGAGGCAGGTGGATCACCTGAGGTCAGGAGTTTGAGACCACCTGACCGACACAGTAAAACTCCATCTCTACTAAAAATACAAAAATTAGCCAGGCATGGTGGTGGGCACCTGTAATCCCAGCTACTTGGGAGGCTGAGTCAGGAGAATCACTTGAACCCGAGATGGAGGTTGCTGTGAGCCAAGATGGCGCCATCGCACTCCAGCCTGAATGACAGAGTGAGACCCCATCTCAAAGAAAATAAATAAATAAAATAAAAAAGAAATTCCAACCAAGAATTTCATATTCAGCCAACTGAGCCTCATAAGTGAAGGAAAAACAAGATCCTTTTCAGATAAGTAAATACTAAGAAAATTTGTTACCCTTATATAATTAATATTCTATAATGGTAAAGGTTTCAATTCAACAAGAAAACCTAACTATCGTAAATACATATCCACCCAACACAGGAGCACCCAGATTCATAAAACAAGTTCTTGGAGACCTAAGAAGAAATTCAGATAACCACACAATAATAGTGGGAGACTTCAACACCCCACTGACAGTATTAGACGGATCATCAAGGCAGAAAACTGGTAAAGATGTTCAGGACCTGAACTCAACAAAACCAAATGGACCTAATAGACACGACAGAACTCCTTATTAGAAGCGAAGAAAAGACACTCCCAATATAATAGTCTCTCACTATTACTGTGTGGTGACAAAGACCCTATCTCTAAAAATAAAAAGTTTAAAAAAAAATCAAGAAATTAGCATTGGTGATAATATTATTATCCAGTCTGAATATTCTATTCAGATGTTGCCAGATGTCTCAATAATGTCCTTTAGAACAAAAGAACATTTTAGATCACAAGTAACATTCAGTTGTTATGTCTCTTTAGTCTACTTGAATCTGAAGAAGTCCTCAGCCTTTCCATCTGCATTTCATGACATTGGCATTCTGACAAACACAAATGTATTAGTTTCCTAGGCCGGCCATAACAAATGATTACAAACCGGATGGCTTTAAACAGCACAAAGTTATTTTCCCACTGCTCTGATAGCTAGAAGTCCAAAATCAAGGTGTCAGCGGGGCTGTGCTCCCCCCAGAAACCTGTAGGGGGAATCTTTTCTTGCATATTCCCAGCTTCCAGTGGTTGCCGGCAGCCCCTGGTGTGCCTTGGTTTGCAGCTGCAGCCCTGCAGCCCCTGCCTCTGTCTTCACGTGTTGTTCTCCCTTTGCGTGTCTGTGTCTCTGTGGCTTTTCTTCTCTTCTAATAAGGATACCTGTCATATTGGATTAAAGGCCCATTCTCCTCTAGTAGGACCTCATCTTAATTAATTACATCTGCAACAACTCTTATTTCCAAATCAGGTCACGTTCTGACATAGTGGGGATTCAAACTTCAACATATCTTTTTTTGGAGTCACAGTTCAATCCGTCTCAACAGGGCAGTTATTTTACAAAATACTCCTCAACTTGAGTTCTGGTATTTCCTCAGGTTAGATTCAAGTTGCACACTTTCAGTTGGAATACCATAAAACTCACCAGGAGGCATGTGATATCAATATGTCCCTCTCCTGGTGATATTAATTTTGTTTACTGGGTTCAGGTGGCGTGTGCCAAGCTTCTCCACTGTAAAGTTACTGTTTTTCCATTTGTAATTAGTAAGTATCTTGTGGAAAAATATTTTTAGTCTATTTTGAGTAAATATTGTTATTCCTCAAACTTTCTGTCCCAGAAGTTTTAGTTTTAGCATCAATTGATGATTCCTGCCCACGTCAATTATTACTTATTATGGTTGCCAAATGGTGATTTTCAAATTCCATCATTTCTTCTACATTTTTTAGTTGGCTTTCTTCTATAAGAAAAAATGTTCTGGCCGGGCACGGTGGCTCGCGCCTGTAATCCCAGCACTTTGAGAGGCCAAGGCAGGAGGATCACCTGAGGTCGGGAGTTCAAGACCAGCTTGATCAACATAGAGAAACGCTGTCTCTACTAAAAATACAAAATTAGCTGGGCGTGGTGGCACATGCCTGTAATCCCAGCTACTCGGGAGGCTGAGGCAGGAGAATTGCTTGAACCTGGGAGGCGGAGGTTGTGGTGAGCCAATATTGCACCATTGCACTCCAGCCTAGGCAACAAGAGCGAAACTCCATCTCAAAAAAAAAGAAAGAAAGAAAGAAAGAATGTTCCTTTCTTCCCTATTGTGTGTGTGTGTGTGTGTGTGTGTGTGTGTGTGTGTGTGGTGTGTGTGTGTTTATATCAGCATGAACACATGGAGGGGCTGCAAGTTTTGAGCAGGGCCTAGAGCAAAAAGGCATCTGTAGCAAGCTGAGGTGTGGAGCCAGCTGCCTGCCACTGCACCTATGACCAGCATGCCCAATAATTGTGGAAGTATCTGTTGCAGACAAAGGTAACATATAGAACCCTTGGCACGCCACAGTAGGAGAATAACAGTCATAGGATATTTGAGAAAGGCTATGTCCACCACTGTTGTCAGTTAGTCTCCACTAAAAAGCAACTCCTGACTTCCTCCTGAAACCTCATGGACTGAGCACTTGGCTTCAGGACCTACTCTGTACCTGGGCTATGTGAATGGGTGCTCCTCCTGCTGAACACCAGTGTATTCCAGCAATAGGGAGCACCAGCAGGAGAATGAGGGACGAAAGAGAGTGAGGTCAGTGTATTTATTGCCCTGCCCCTCCCTGCAGCATCACCACAGGCCAGTTCTGATGATGAATTGAGGAAAAAATATCACTCCTATGATATTTTTACCAAAAATGCGTAATCCAAATCTAATCCTGAGAAAACATCAGACAAGCTCAAATGGAGGCACAGTCTACAAAATCATTGGCCTGTACAACCCAAAAAACATCAAGTTTATAAAAGACAAGGGAAGACTGAGGAACTGTGCAGATTAAAGAAAACTAAAGAAACCTGACAACTAAATGCAACCCATGAACCTGGATTGTATCCTGGACCAGAAAATTGTTTTCTTTTGTTACAAAGGACACATTTTGGACAACTGATGGAATTTAAATAAAGTCTGTAAGTTAGATAATAATATTGTATCAATGTTTATTTCCTAATTTTCTTATAACTGTATAAAAGATTAGGTTCATGCTATACATGCTGTTTTTGTTCTTTTGTTGTTGTTGTTTTTGATTTTGTTTTTTTTTTTTTTTCTGAGACAGGGTCTTGCTCTGTCACCCAGGCTGGAGTGCAGCGGGTGCAGCGGTGCAATTTCAGCTCACTGCAGCCTTGACCTCCCCAGCTCAATCAATTAGCCCTCCCATCTCAGATTCTCAAGTAGGGACTACAGGTATGTACCACCACACCAGGCTAATTTTTTTTTTTTTTTTGTAGAGGTGGGGTTTCACCATGTTGCCCAGGCTGGTCTCAAACTCCTGTGTTTAAGCGATCCACCCGCCTCGGCCCCACAAAGTGCTGGGGTTACAGGTTTGAACCACCACACCAGGCCTTAAATTTTAAATAGAGACGGAGTCTTACTATGTTGCCCAGGCTAGTCTTGAAGTCCTGGGCTCAAACAATCCTTCCACCTCAGCCTCCCAAAGTTCTGAGATTATGGAAGTGAGCCACCATACCCAACTTATGCTGCTTTTTAAGAAAACTGAGTTTTTAGTTTAATTTCACTTGAACTTAACACAAGAAAAAATGAAATTAAATTGAAAGAAATGTTAGACTTTTAACACATTTTTTTCACCTTAGGAAATATTCGTTGTTATAGGATTCTTCTGTTTCTATAGGTTTAAAAAAATGAAAGCTGTTAAGAGGTTGGAATGTTATACATTACTTTTAAGTGCATGTTTCATTTTTACATAGTATCAATTCTCTCTATACTATAAAACATGTAATTATTGGCATAGGTATATTTCTTCCTTTTCCCTTCTCTTTCACTCTTGTTTGTTGCTCATATCATTTCTACTTTATCAAGCTTTATAGTCTGGGCACGGTGGCTCACACCTGTAATCTCAGCACTTTGGGAGGCTGAGGTGGGCAGATCACTTGAGGTCAGGAATTCAAGACCAGCCCGGCCAACCTGGTGAAACCCCATCTCTACTAAAAGTACAATAATCAGCCGTGCCTGGCTGATTAGCATCATTCTTAATCAATTTTTCCAAATGAATGCTATGTTTTATCTGCCTGAAAATTCTCTTCTTTTTTCTTCTTGGGGCATTTGTTTTGTATTATATCTCTGAATATATTTTTCTGGTTTTATTTGTTAGACTCTCTACTTCAAAGCCATCAAAGGATTATCTTTGCCCTTTTCTATGTCTATCATTTTCTTTCTAGATTAAAAAATTTTTTTTCTGGCTGGGCGCGTTGGCTCATGCCTGTAATCCCAGCACTTTTGGAGGCCAAGGCGGGTGGATCAGGAGTTCGAGACCAGCCTGGCCAACATAGTGAAACCCCATCTCTACTAAAACTACACAAAATTAGCCGAGTGTGGTGGTGGGTGCCTGTAATCCCAGTTACTTGGGAGGCTGAGGCAGGAGACTCGCTTGAGTCCGGGAGGCGGAGGTTGCGGTGAGCTGAGATCGCACCATGGCACTCCAGCCTGGGCAACAAAAGCGAAACTCCATCTCAAAAAATAAATAAATAAATAAGTAAATAAATAAGTAAATAGATAAATAAATTTTTCTAACCAACCAGGGAACTATTTAAAAATAATAATAAATAAATTTAAATTAAGTTTTTTTCTCTCTTTTCTCTGTATTAATTGTGATTACCAATTACAATCTCAACATTTTGGGAGGCCAAGGTGGGAGGATTGCTTGAGGATATGAGTTCAAAACCAGCCTAGGCAACATAGCAAGACCCTGTCTCCACAAAAAATAATACAAAATAATTAGCCAGGCATGGTAGCACCCACCTAGAGTACCAGCTACTCAGGAGGCTGAGTGGGGAGGATCACTTGAGCCCAGAAGTTCCAGGCTGCAGTGAGCTATGATTGCACCACTGCACTCAAGCCTGGGCAACAGAGTGAGATCCTGTCTCAAAAAAAAAAAAAAAAAAAAAAAGTGGTTGTCCCAAGTGTCTCCACCAAAATTTAGCTTCCAGCCATGTCTATTCAGTTTCTAACTATATTGTTTATTTATTACATAACTAATAATGTTAATTTTTCTTTAGCTCTGCAATATCCTCTTCAACACATTCTGTTGTCTTAGCTTATCATCTCATAGATCTTATTATTTTAAAATTATATTCTATGTGGGGTTTTTTGGGGGGCTTTTTGTGGGTTTTTTTTTTTGAGACAGACTCTCACTCTTGTCACCCAGGCTGGAGTGCAGTGGCACAATCTCAGCTCACTGCAACCTCCATCTCCTGCGTTCAAGCAATTCTCCTGCCTCAGCCTCCTGAGTAGCCAGGATTACAGGCACCTGCCACCACGCCCAGCTAATTTTTGTATTTTTGAGTAGAGACAGGGTTTCGCCATGTTGGCCAAGCTGGTCTCGGACTCCTGACCTCAGGTGACCCACCTGCCTCGCCCTCCCAAAGTGCTGGGATTACAGGCATGAGCCACCGTGCCCGGCCTGTTCTATGTGTTCTTATAGTGCAAAGCATTTGTGGAAAACGTGCCCTTGTTAGAGAGTTATGTTCTTCTGTACTGGTATCTTTGTATGCCTTTTGCGTTCTAATCATTTATTCAACATATATTTGAGTACCTACTACTGTAAGACAGTTTTTGGGCTCTGGTGATACCACAAAATAGAAAAAGTCCTCGTTTTCATGGTGCTTATACTGTGTGTGTATGCTGGTGTGTGTACATAGTGTGTGTGCTGTGGCAGGTATTTGGGTTTGCTATAATATGTTTACATAGTTACTACACATTTCCTGCCATTTTACTGACAGTTAAACTGGGCGGTGTTATCTAAGTCTTTCATCTCTCTAACAAAGTGAAGAGTGAATTCTCCTTGACATTGTGTTCACGGTATCTGGAACCAGTTTGAATTCTATTCAGGGCTTCAGGTTAAATTCTACATGTTGATTTTAACCCACTTTTCTGTAGCCTGAGGACAGAACTGTTAAGATTAAATTTATGGACTTCAACCTTACAAGTGGTAATTCAGTTTGTTGTCACAACAATGTTTTCTTTATAAATTTAATTTTGATTACAAACAATATAACTACATTTTCAAAAAATTGGAAAAGAATAAGATCACCCATATATGATTCAATTGGAAAGCCGTTTTTATACTTTCATAGTCTCTATGGTAACCTATAAGAAAATTCATCATATGACTGTGAAAGCTCTTTATTGACTGTTTAGAAACAAACTACGAGGCTTTTTCTAACAGTTCAACGCAAAAAAAAATCCTGAAGGTGATCCATATCTTAGTTGTATCTCATACCAAAAATAATCTCATTTTTTGTGCCCATGTGCAAGCATAATTTTATTTATGTTCAAATTGGAAACGTGGCCTCTGCCTTCTCATTTATTTTCTTCTTGGTCAAAAACCTTTTGATTTCTTGGGTGAAATGGAAAGGAATGATGTCAAGTATCAGAAATAAAATATTTCCTCTCTAGGGTGTCTCTAAAACAAAAAGGGAAGGCAAGCGGCAGGACCTTTAGCTAATTCATTAAAGACAAAGTTGCCTTAGGCAGCCACAAAGAGACTTGTCCAAGGATGTTTGAGACTCTCAAAGGAATGGAGTACGGAATGATAATATCAGCTTGAGCTAAAGAATATTCCTTCATCTGAGCAGAAAACATATCTCTAGGTTTCCTGGTAGCTAGGGCAGAGAATAAAATGAAAGAGATGTCATACTTCTTTTTGCCTTATAAATGACTGTGTTCCAAAGTGTTGGAAGACTCATTTCTTCCCACCTTTGAACTCTGAAAGGACAATTTTTACATGAATCCTTATATATAGGATCATGCACAATGGAATAGGCAATATTCTTGGTAATTGTTTTAACAAAAAAAAAAAAAGGAGAGATTTCTTTATTTATTACTCTTTCTTCTATGGTCCCAAATAGGAAGACGATAAAACAAGATGAGGTTCTATAGTCATGTGACAAGAGAAATTCTCTAAAGTCCTGTCTAGATTAATAAGTCCATGTGTGATTTTCTTCTTGCCTGGTGTTTTATTTTCCACTGCTCCTGCCTTTGTACTTTTTCTCTGACTCTGTTTCTCTCTTGGGGCTGAAAGCATCAACTGTGACATGTCATTGTTCAACGAACCATCTTGACAGCGAGAAGAGAATGAGAGCTGTCCTCAGAGGCAGGTCCTGGTGGAGGCAGGAAGCAGACACCATTTTTCCTTTGATATTCTTTCGCTTCTCCATGCCATTTCGATATTGCCACCACCTGTTGGTCCTCACTGCTCTCTGGGCATACAACTTCCCACTGCCGTGTCCTAGCCAGGCTCACCTTCTCAAACACTGCCACAGCTTTAAAATTACCTCTTTTTATTTTCTATCAAATCTTCTCTTTCCTCTGGGTTGAGTGAAGCATCAAAAGGAAATTATGTCTATCAATCCAAGTTCGATCAGAGAAGCAGAACTACAAAGAGCTCTGGGATAAGGGGCCAGGCGCTGTGGCTCATGCCTATAATCCCAGCACTTTGGCAGGCTGAGGTGGGCGGATCACCTGAGGTCAGGAGCTCGAAACCAGCCTGGCTAACGTGGTGAAACTCTCTCTCTACTAAAAATACAAAAAATTAGCTGGGTGTGTTGGCAGACGCCTGTAATCCCAGCTACTCAGGAGGCTGAGGCAGGAGAATCACTTGAACCTGGGAGGCGGAGGTTGCAGTGAGCTGAGATCATGCCATTGCACACCAGCCTGGACAACAGGAGTGAAACTCCGTCTAAAAAAATAAAAAAACAAAGAGCTCTAGGATGAGGGATTTGGAATTAGACCTTACACAATGATGGGGGGAGCTGGGAAGTGAAGGTTGGAAAGAAGTGAGATCAGAGAGTCATCCATCTGGATCTGAGAAGTAGATCCCACTGTCAAATTCAAGAAGCTGTTAGAGAAGTCTACAAAAAGCACCTGCCTGCATTGGCTATGGGTCCACACCAAGCATCAGCTGATAAGGCTGGGGCTGCTGCTGGTCATCGGGGCCAGCACTTGATAGGAAAGCTGGTCACAGAGTGTGGAGGGCAAGGACAAGCTGGAACCCACTGGGCACTTCTGCATCTGCCACTGCACCTAACCACAATGACCTTCTGAGAGGAGTGGCTGCAGCTTCTCCTCCACCTCCCAAATTTTGTGCAAATTACTCTTTTAGCGAACTCTAATCTGAGACCACTAAGAAAGAGGATTCTGGGCCGGGTGCAGTGGCTCATGCTTGTAATCCCAGCACTTTGGGAGGCTGAAGTGGGCAGATCACCTGAGGTCAGCAGTTTGAGATCAGCCTGACCAACATAGTGAAACCCCATCTCTACTTAAAATATATATATATAATACAAAAATTAGCTGGGCATGGTGGTGGGCACCTGTAATCCCAGCTTCTCAGGAGGCTGAGGCAGGAGAGTCGCTTGAACCGGGGAGGTGGAGGTTGCAGTGAGCTGAGATCGTGCCATTGCACTCCAACCTGGAAATAAGAGCAAGACTCTGTGAAAGAAAGAAAGAAAGAAAGAAAGAAAGAAAGAAAGAAAGAAAGAAAGAAAGAAAGGAAGGAAGGAAGGAAGGAAGGAAGGAAGGAAGGAAGGAAGGAAGGAAGGAAGGAAGGAAGGGAAGGGAAGGGAAGGGAAGGGAAGGGAAGGAAGGAAGGAAGGAAGGAAGAAAGAAAGAGGCCGGGCACAGTGGCTCACGTCTGTAATCCCAGCACTTTGGGAGGCCGAGTCGAGCAGATCACGAGGTCAGGAGATCGAGACCATCCTGGCTAACACAGTGAAACCCTGTCTCTACTAGAAATGCAAAAAATTAGCCGGGTGTGGTGGCGGGCGCCTGTAGTCCCAGCTACTCGGGAGGCTGAGGCAGGAGAATGGCGTGAACCCGGGAGGCGGAGCTTGCAGTGAGCCAAGATTGTGCCATTGCACTCCAGCCTGGGTGACAGAGCGAGACTCTGTCTCAAAAAAAATAAATAAATAAAAGAAAGAAAGAAAGAAGGAAGGAAGGAAGGAAAGGAAGGAAGGAAGGAAGGAAGGAAGGAAGGAAGGAAGGAAGGAAGGAAGGAACGAAGGAAAAAAAGAAAGAAAGAAAAGAAAGAAAAAGAAAGAAAGAAAAGAAAGAAAGAAAAAGAAAGAAAAGAGAGAGAGAGAGAAAGGAAGGAAGGAAGGAAGAGGATTCTGGAAATGTAGTTCCCAGTTCAACCAAGTTGACAATAGAACAATCCAGCATAGTGTGTTTTGATACACTCCTACTAAGTTACAAATAAATGATATTCTTTGTGAAATCCCCTCAGAAGATCACTTTCTAGTAAAGAAGAAGGTTTTTAGTTCAAAGAGGTCTCAGGCACCGACAGGCCAATATGGGCCAGGGAGTTATTTTCCTGGTGCCCTAGTTTACTTGCTCCAGAGCTTTGCAACTTTTCCACCAACAAACCCAACTCCTAATTCTAGAGGACGGTAAGTGTCCTTTAGTAGACCCTGGATGACTAGGCTCATAGTCCAGAGGAGCCCCCCACGAACTCATAATCTCTTTGAAGTCTTCTGTTCCATCTTCTTTAGTCCTGCAAATCTTGACTCTTACCTTGCAATACAGTATATGTGTGCTTGTTTAGTATAAAAGTAAATTTTGTTTAAAAGACAGGGTCTCACTCTGTCATCCAGGCTGGAGTGCAGTGGCATGATCATAGCTCACTGCAGCCTCAAACTCCTGGATCCTCAAGCGATCCTCCTGCCTTAGCCTCCCAGGAATGAGCCATCGTGCCTGGCTTCTGTCCCCATTAATCTTTGTTGCCACCCAGTAGTGCCAACCTTTGCGTGCTGTACTACCTGTTAGTGTTTTGTCTGGCTTCCTAGGTAATCTGTGAGCATCTCAGTGGCAGATATTGTCAGAAACATACCCATTCCCTCTTCTTCCTTGCTAACAGAAGACCAATGTTATTTGGAGGAATCATGACTAGTCTAAACCAGTCATGGAAATCTCATTGTCCTCTGCCAGTGAGTGATAAGGCTGAGCACCTGACTCATTTCTGGTCATTAGGATGTACAGAGAAATCTGCTGAGAAGCTTCTGGGAAATATTTCATTTCTTAAAAAAAGAAATATACCTTGAGAAATGTCTTATCAAAGAAGAGACTTTTGAATATTACATTCCTTGCTTCCTGCTCTGGACATAGCAGTATGATGGTTGGGGTTGTGGCAACCATGTTGTGACCATGAGAAGATGGATATTATGCCAAGGGGAGCAGAGCAGAGAGAAGGATAGGAAGAACTTGAGCTCTTTGTTGTTGTTGTTGTTGTTGTTGTTGAGACAGAGTCTCGGTCTCTCACCCAGGCTGGAGTGCAATGGCGTGATTTTGGCTCACTGGAACCTCCGCCTCCCGGGTTCAAGCAATTCTCCTGCCTCAGCCTCCCAAGTAGCTGGGATTAAGGGTGCCTGTTACCGTGCCTGGCTAATTTTTTGTGCTTTTAGTAGAAACAGGGTTTCACCATGTTGGCCAGGTTGGTTCCAACTCCTGACCTCAGGTGATCCACCCGCCTCAGCCCCGCAAAGTGCTGGGATTACAGGCGTGAGCCACCACGCCAGGCCAGAGCTTGAGTTCTTGAATGGCTGAGCAAATCAAACCAAATACCTTTAGAAATTTTTCTTTATAAACATGTTCTTAGGGTTTATGTTACCTTTAGAGAACTACCCTGAAGGGACCTGCTATGAGCTGAACTGTATCCCTCAAAAATTCATATGCTGAAGCCCAAAACCCCAATGTGGTGATATTTGGAGATGGAGCTTTGGGAGGTAATCGGGTTAGATGTGGTCATAAGAGTAGGGGCCTCGTGATGGGATTAGTACCCTTATAAGAAGAGACACCAGAGAGGATGCTTCCTCTCTCTTTCCATCAGGTGAGGACACAATGAGAAGGCCACTATCTGCAAGCCAGGAGAAGAGCCCTCGCCACAAACTGAGCCATCCAGACCTTGTTCCTGGACTTCAGTCTCCAGAACTGTGAGAAATAAATATCTGGTGTTTAAGCCACTCAGTCTATATTTTGTTATAGCAGTCCAAGTTGATGAAAATAGGACTCTAATTGGTATATACTTAAGTAGCTAATATTATGCTTACCATATGCTAGACATGCTCTAAGTACATTAAAAGTACCAACTCATTGAAATCTACACTTTTCCAGTGAAGTGGGTGCAATTATAACCATACTCATCACATACATAAGGAATTTGAGGCACGGCAAGGTTAAGTAACATGCCCCAAATCACAAAGCTAGTAAGTAGTAGAACTAGGCTTTGAACCAGGTTTGTCTGGGTCCTGAGTTCACACTCTCAACCACTATCCTCCACTGCATTTTGAGGCCGCCCTGTGCCGTATTCATCCTAAAATTCTCAAAGGCTGGCACAGTGCCTGACACATATTAATGCATATATTGAACACTGATGTGCAAAGCAATCTCCTAATTTTGTCAACAATCATCTACTTTCATCCTCATAACGACCTTATTAACAGGGTGACTAATCACCCTGATTTGCCTGGGACTGAGTGGGGATTTTGGGATGCTGGACTTTCCATTGAAAACTGGGACAGGTTGGTCACCCTACCTATTCGGTCAGTTCATGCTTGCATTGTGACTTTTATTAGCCCTACACACTTTTACCTTCATGAGCCCCTCACACCATCATAAATGTTTGAGTACCCTAGAAAATTAATTTTTTATGATGTGAGAAAAAATTAAAACATTTTCTTCAATGCAAAAGGTTCATTTTTTTCTGATTTTAAAAGAAATCAAATCATTTAATAGATCCTAAAAAGATTTTGGGTCCTAGTCATTGTGCCTATGTGGATGAATTGACTCTGCGTTAGTTCTGTCATAATCCCCATTTCACAGACAGCTTAAGCAAACTGCCAATAATCCTTCATCTAGAAAATGATGGAGCCAGAATTTGAATTCTTGCTGTCTAACTCCAGTTAAGAGCGTATGCTCTTAACTGCTACTTCAGTGTTTTCCAAACATTTTTTATGTTGACCCATAATTAAAAAAAAATAAACCTTATAGCACAGTGCAATACTCATATGCACACACACAACACACATAGGTAACTCAATCAAAAGTTTCATGTAACAATATTTACCTTTGCTACACTAATTTGCACTGATGTTTTCTATTCAATCGTATTTGATTCTATTTCATTTTTTAAAATGCTGCTTACAGCCCAATATATTGAGTTCATGACCCTTCAATATATAGTTGCCCACAGCTTGAGAAATACTACACTCCACTACAATATCATTTAATAAATATTTGTTGAGTAAAGTTCCTGGGTGCAAGGACAGGGTAGGGACATCACCCAACACAAATATTTTTAGCCAAATAACTATCAGTTTCATCTGTCTCTTTAACAACTGAAATAACATGAAAAGGAAACGTGTGTTATTTTAGAAACACAATGCCAATGGTTGATTTAAGATTTTACAGTATCTGCTTCCTGGAAAGAATGTGATGAGAGCTTCGATTTTATACGGGTTTGTCTTGAAGAAGTTTTAATATTTCATCTTTCTTCAGCAGTTCTTAAGATAGGGCATTAAAAGGTCCTTAAGAAAACTCATGAACCCAGAGGCTAAAATGACACAGCTCAGTCTTTGGTCTGTGCATGTCTATTTTCTCCTTGATTAATCAAACACGAGGCTTTCACTGGGTTGCTTTAACTGTGTCCTACGGAAAAATGTGACTTTCAAGCTGACTAGGTAGATAAATAAGGTTACTAGACGCCAAATACAGATCAAGCAATGTAAATACGCTTTCTGGCTGATTTAAAATCACTCTGAAGCCTGTAGGACTTCAGAACCCCTAAACAAAGATGCTGACACATCATTAGTTATTCTCAAGCAACACTGACGGAGTGACTTCCTTCTACGTCTGGGGACTAGTCTCGATACTGAAAGTAGCACAAAGCCTTCATTCACTAGGACCTTCTGACAACCAGCAGTACATTTGACGCCGAAACTAGCACTGGGCACCAAAAGGCAGTTGGTAAATGATGGATGGGAAAAGAGTTGCTTGAAGGAATGAATGAACATTAGTGAGAAGATCTCAAATCAAGGAAGTTCAGACCAAGAAGACATAAAACCCAGGTGTTTGAAGTGGGGCTCAGAAAAGGAGGGAAGGCAAGAAGAGGAAGGGCAAGGAAAGGTTAAGGGTCATGGTGTCATGGGAAGGGCTCAGGGCCAGCAGGGAGGAGCCTACATTCTGTTGACCTTGATGTCTAGCTTGCTGTGATTTTGGCAATAGCCTTCACTTTTCTGAGCCCCAGTTTCCTCAACCGTAAATTGAGGTGTCTACCCAATGACATCAAAGTCTCCTTTCAGCCTTTAATTTCAGAATCCATGGAATCACAGAATCCACAGAATCATGAACTCACAGGCCAAGAGGGCAACAGTTATAGGTAGAAGGCAGGGAGGAGGGCCCCTTGGAAATTTTGACTTTAGAAAGGGTTTCTCGAGCCCAAAGATGTTAGGACCTTACATTTTCACTGAATGCACTGCTTTTCTGGAGCTGGGTTTCAGAATCCCACTTCCTGCACCAATTTGCCAGATACCCTAGGAGAAGCCTCAGCATCCTCTGTACTTCTTTAATGCTCCCAATTGTAATTACAATTGTGCCAGGCATTGTGCTACATTCTGTACGTGCATAATCCCATTTTGTCCTTACAGCAGCCTGTAAGGTAGACTATACTTTATTATGCTGCAGATGGGTAGAGAGGGCTCAGAAAGGTTAAGTGACACACCCTAAATTTTTCAGCTGGGAAGTGGTAGAGGTTGGACTTGAACCCCCAGTTATGTTTGTCTCCAATTTCCACACTCTTGCTACAGCACCAGGCTGCACAAGTCTCAAGGTTTGCAAAAACGAGTCCCTTCCCACCCTGCCTATTTACAGAAATGTCAGGAAGATTAATGATACATCCCATTTGACACTTTTTATTTCTTTATAGTTTATAGCCTACTTACTTTCAAAAATGGATCTGAGGCACCTCAAAATATTAAAACAAGCTGGATGTGGTGGATCACATCTGTAATCCCTACATTTTGGGAGGCTGAGTCAGGAAGATCACTTAAGCCCAGAAGTTCGAGACCAGCCTGAGCAACATAGTGAGACCCCCATCTCCACAAAAAATAAAAATAAAAATAAATTCTCCAAGGGTAGTGACACAAACCTGTAGTCACAGCTACTCAGGAGGCTAAAGTGGGAGGACTGCTTGAACCCAAATCTTTGAGGCTGCAGTGAGCTATGACTGCGCCACTGCTCTCCGCCTGGGCAACAGAGTGAGATGCTGTCTTTAAAAAAGAAAAAGAAAATATTAAAACACATAATATAGGACAGTTTTTAAAATTTAACACACACACACACACACACACACACACACACACACACAAATGAATGTAGGCCTAAAAAAAATCACAAAACCAAAATGAGACTCATAGTCTAGTTAAGAGTAATGTACCAATGTCAGTGTCCTAGTTTGTTATTGTACTATGGCTATGTAAGATGTCTTTTTGCGGGGAAGCTGGGTTTAGTGTACATGAGACTTTTCATGTTATTTTTGAAACTATGAGTCTATTATTATTTCAAATAACAAGTTTTTAAAAATATATAAATAGAGATTAAGGAGAGATGGAATAATTTATGGCAACTCTCTATGAGTCTATTATTATTTCAAATAACAAGTTTTGAAAGTATATAAATAGATAGATATTGAGAAATCTGGAATAATGTAATGAATAAATTTTTACCAGGAACCTGGGATGTCACGTCAGAAACTATGAGCCCCTCATCCCAATCTATTTCCTCTTCTTCCTGGGCACACAGTTAGATTATATTTTTCAGCCTCCTTTGAATTAAGAATGGCCACGTAGCTGAGTTCTGGCCGACAGAATGTGGGGAGTGGATGGGTACTATTTCCAGGCCTAGCCTGCAAAAACCTTTCAAGTGCCTTCTTCCACGCTCTTTCCCTTCCTACTAACTGAAGACAAAAGATTGCCAGGTTCTAGGAGTTGGTAGAGCTGCAACAAAAAAGCTCGAGTGCCTGATCAGAGTGTGAGGGAGAGCTGCCCGGTGACCTTTCCACCTTGGACTGTTGAATGGGCAAGAAATAGGCTGGGGGTGGTAGCTCACACCTGTAATCCCAGCACTTTGGGAGGCCAAGGTGGGAGGATCACTTGAGGCCAGGAGTTTGAGACCAGCCTGGCCAACATGGAGAAACCCTGTCTCTATTAAAAAATACAAAAATTAGCTGGGTGTAGTGGCGCCCACCTGTAATCCCAGCTACTCAGGAGGCTGAGCCATGAGAAATGCCTGAGCCCGAAAGGTGGAGGTTGCAGTAAGGCAAGATTGCTCCACTGCACTCTAGGCTGGGCAACACAGCGAGAATCTGTCTTGAAATAAACTTCTAGTAATTTCAACCACTCTTTGCACATCCTTTTTGCACTCTTAAAGCATATTGAGATCCTACAAAGTTTTGTGTATGTAGGCTATATCCATTGATATTTACTGTACTAGAAATGAAAACTGAAAAAAAATTAAAAGGTTTATTAATTCATTAAAGAAGAATAATAAACCATTACACATTGACATAAATAATGTATTTTATGAAAAATAACTATATTTTCCCCCAAAATTACATTTTTGCAAATCTCTTTAATGTCTGGCTTAAAATAGAAGACAGCTAGATTCTCACATCTGCTTCTGCGTTCAATCTGTGAGATAAATTTTAGTTTATGTATATTAAAAAAATTCCAGCCTCACATATACATAGTAGAAAAAGAGGAGTATTTTAAAAGCTTTTTCCAGATAATTGTGGATATTCCTCTTTGATACTACATCTAAACTGGACAAGTGATCATTTCTTAAAGGTTAGTTTTGCAGTGTGAAATCTGAAACCATATCAGTGAACTTTTCATATTGCATTACCTCAAAATCCATTGGTTTATCTTGTACTTTGAATGGACCTTTTACTCATACATGATTTTGTAACATCATCCTTTGGTCATTTGGAAAATAGTAGTTCACTAAGTTATACAGATCTTCCAAATGTTGACACATTTTATTATGCAATACAGATTTGAAAAGCCTACATTTGTTAATATCACCACCAGCAGTATCAGAAGTCTTCAAGTAGTGGAAAGATGGAAAGTTCATAATGGCAGATACAAGTTTTCCAAAATTCTAATTTTCATCTGAAAGCTTGAATATTATTATTGGCAATAAACATTGTCCATTTATTTTCCTTAAAGTGACAGGCTCACTTTGTTCAAGAAAATGTCTGCCCAATACTCAAGCCTGAGTAATGATAGTGGGGCTGTCAGTCATTCTTTCAAGTAAAACTAAAATTCTGTGAAAAAGCATCTAGTTCATTCAGCTCACATCTCAATTGCATAAGTGCTTTCCCCCAAGACAACCATTGAGTATTTCAGTGTGCAACAGCAGTGCTTTGTGCATCTGTCCCATTCTGGTTCACAGAATATCAAAAACATGGGCATTCAAGAGTAGTAGTTTAATAATATCAATAATTTTTACTGCTTATCGAAGATATTCTTAAGTAAAACTGGCTTTCTTTTTAAATTTATTTTAATTTTATTTCATAGAGACAGAGTTTCACTATGTTGCCCAGGCTGGTCTTGAACTCCTAGGCTCAAGTAATCCTCCTGTCTTGGCCTCCCAAAGTGCTGGGATTACTCTCAGCTTTCAAATGCCTTGAAAGTGCCATGACTGCTCTTCTCTGTAGCTGGATCTTACAGTAGAAACCACAGTCACTCAGTTGGAAAACTTAAATGCAATGGGAGTAATTGGGATGCCAGGAGCCAAGTGGTGGCACTCAGCTACCAAAGGCAAGGTGCACATAGTCACCATAATGGACAGAAAGTCAAAGCAGCAATTGGAATGGTCTGGCTTGGCTGGGCACAGTGGCTCACTCCTGTAATCCCAGCACTTTGGGAGGCCAAGGTGGGCGGATCACCTGAGATCAGGAGTTCGAGACCAGTCTGGCCGATATGGTGAAATCCTGTCTCTACTAAAAATACAAAAATTAGCCAGGCTTGGTGGTGGGCACCTGTAATCTGTAATCCCAGCAATTCGAGAGGCTGAGGCAGGAGAATTGCTTGAACCCAGGAGGTGGAGGTTGCAGTGAGCCAAGATCGCACCATTGCACTCCAGACTGGGCAATAAGTCTCAAAAAAATAAAAATAAAAAGAATGGTCTGACTTGTGTAGACTATGACATTGGCCAGTTAATCATGGAGTTTTTAGAAGTAAAATAGGAAGCCTACTAAATTCTTACTTGATTTGTGTAAGTAGAAATCTTCCAGGTCAAGTCAATGAGAGTCAAACTTGAATCATAAAAACAGAATCATGGCCTCTCAATCAATTCCCAGATTTGAGCCAGTTTAAAGACCCAGAAACCCTTGAATGAAGGCGAGGCCACATCCCCTCAAGGAAGGACCCTGGTACACTACCAAAAATTTATATTGTTAATATTTCTTTCAGCTTCCCCTAAAGGGACCTACAGCATTTTACCAGGGTAACTGTGCATTGGGGAAAAGGAAACAGACATTGCAGGGACTACTGGATACTGGCTCTAAACTGACACTGATTCCAGGAGACCCGAACATCACTGTGGCCCTCCAGCCAGAGTAGGGGCTTCTAGAGGTCAGGTGATCCACAAAGTTTTAGCTCAGCTCTGACTTACAGTGGGTCCAGTGGGTCCCTAAAACCATCCTGTGGTTACTTCCCCAGCTTCTGAATGTTTAGTTGACATAGATGTACTTAGCAGTTGGCAGAATCCCCACACTAGTTCCCCAACCTGTGGAGTGAAGGCTATTATTGTAGGAAAGGCCAAATGAATGCCATTTGAGCTGCGTGTACCTAGGAAAATAATACATCAAAGCAATACTGCATCCCTGAGGGGATTGCAGATATTAGTGCCACTGTCAAGGACTTGAAAGATGCAGGTATAATTATTCCCACCACATCTGCATTCAACTCTCCTAATTGTCCTGTGTAGAAGACAGAAGGATCTTGGAGAATGACAATGGATTATCATAAGGTTAACCAAGTGGAAACTCCAGCTGCACCTGCTGTATCAGATGTGGTTTCATTGCTTGAGCAAATCAATACTTCTCCTGGTACCTGGTATGCAGCTCTTGATATGGCAAATGCCTTTTCTCTATACCTGTTCATAAGGTCCACTAGAAGGAGTTTGCTTTCATAAACCAAATAAGCTCATGAACAAAATGGCCATGGTGGCAGGGATGGAGGTTATTCATGGGCTGAACAACATGGACTTCCACTCACCAAGGCCAACCTGGCCATCGCCACTTTGAGACTGAGTACTCAAACTGCCAGCAGCAGAAACCAACACTGAGCCTCTGATATGGCATCATTCCCAGGGATGCTCAGCCAGCTACCCAGTGGCAAGTTGATTAACAGCTTCCAATCATGAAAGGGGCAGTGTTTTTTTCTTATTTCAACAGGCAGTTACTCTAGATATGGTTTTTTTTTTTGTTTTTTTTTTTTTTTTGATACAGATCTCACTCTGTCACCCAGGCTGGAGTGCAGTGGCACGATCTTGGCTCACTGCAAGGTCTGCCTCCTGGGTTCAAATGATTCTCATGCCTCAGCCTCCCAAGTAGCTAGGATTACAGACATACACCACCATGCCTGGCTAATTTTTTATTTTTAGTAGAGATGGGGTTTTGCCATGTTGGCCAGGCTGGTCTCAAACTCCTGACCTCACGTGATCCTCCTGCCTTAGCCTCCCAAAGTGCTGGGATTACAGGTGTGAGCCATGGCACCCAGCCTGGATATGGATTTTTACCTTCTCTGCACATAATTCTTCTGCTGTAACTACCACCTGTAGACTTAAAGAATGTCTTATCTACCATCATGGTATTCCATACAGCATTGCTTTTGACCAAGGAACACACTTCACAGCCAAAGTACAGCAATGGGCTCATGCTCCTGGAATTCACTGGTCTTTCCATGTTCCCTACCATCCTGAAGCAGCTGGCTTGATAGAATGATGGGATGGCCTTTTGAAGACACGGTTATAGTATGATAGGTGATAATACTTCGTAGGGGCAAGATTCTCCAGAAGACTGTATAAGCTCTGAATCAGCATCTAATACACGGTACTGTTTCTCCCATTGCCAGGATGTAGAGGTCCAGGAATCAAGGGGTGGAAATGGGAGTGGCACCACACACCATGACCCCTAATGACCTACTAGCACAATTGTTGCTTCCTTTTCCCATGGCTTTATGCCCGGCTGCCATAGAGGTCTTATTTCCAGAGGGAAGAATGCTTTCACTAGCAGACACAACAATGATTCCATTGAACTGGAAGTTGAGACTCGCACCTAGCCACTTTGGGCTCCGCACACCTCTGAGTCAGGGGAGTTATGGTGTTGGCTGGAGTGATTGATCTGGACTACCAAGGAGAAATTGGACTACTACTCCACAATGGAGGTAAGGAGGTAAGTATTTCTGAAATACAGGCAATTCCTTGGGCCATCTCTTAATATTACCATGCCCTGTGGTTAAGGTCAATGGGGAACTATGATAACCCAATCTAGCCAGGACTATGAATGGCCCAGAGCCTTCAGGAATAAGTTTTGAGTCATCACATTAGGTAAAGAATCAAGCCGAACTGCTTGCTAGAAGCAAAGAGAATACAGGATGGATGGTAGAAGATGATAGTTATAAATACCATCTAAGACCCTATGACCAGTTACAGAAATGAGAGCCGTAATTGCCATGAGTATTTCCTCCCTCTTTTGTCAAATGTGAGCTAGTTTAACAAAAGGAGGAGGTTTGGGCACATACCAGGGTTTCCTGGAACCAGGCAATAGGGTCTCCTGTGGCCTGGGGCCCAGACATATTTATTTTATTTCCTCTCTTATTATTGTATCAGGTAACATAAAATATATTGACTTTATATCAGCAGTTAAGTATCGTTAATTTTACATTATTTAACTTATGGGATATCGGGAGAAGAGTAAACATCACTCAAAGACTTTACCTCCTCTTCTGGGGAAGGAACTGGTGCACTTTTATTGCGTGTAGGATAGTTGTATCATGTTAGGTGGAACTATGGCTTTAAGAAGATGGGTAAATGTGGCTGGGCGTGGTGGCTCACGCCTGTAATCCCAGCACATTGGGAGGCCAAGGGGGGCGGATCACGAGGCAGGAGTTTGAGACCACCTGGCCAGTGTGGTGAAACTCTGTCTCTACTAAAAATACAAAAATTAGCCGGTCGTGGTGGTGCATGCCTGTAGTCCCAGCTACTCAGAAGGCTGAGGCAGAAGAATAGCTTGAACCCAGGAGGCAGAGGTTGCAGTAAGCTGAGATCATGGCACTATACTCCACCCTAGGTGACAGAGCAAGACTCCATCTCAAAAAAAAAAAAAGATGGGTAAGTGTGCCAAGTTGACAAGGTGTGAACTTTTGATGATTAGTTTTAGGTGTTAATGTGACTGGATTAAGGGATACCCAGATAGCCAATAAAGCATTATTTCTGGATCTGTCTGTAAGAATATTTCTGGAAAAGACTGGCACTTGAATCAGTAGACTGAGTAAGGAAGATCAGCCCTCACCCAATGTGCAAGCACCAACCAGTTGGTTGAGGGCCCAAATAGAAAAAAAAGGCAGAGGAAGGACAATTTGCTCTCTCTCTTCTGGAGGTGGGACACCCATCTTCTCCTGCCCTTGGACATCAGAACTCTAGGTTCTCTGGCCTTTGGACTCCAGGCCTTATACCAGCAGCTCCCCAGGTTCTCAGGCCTTCAGCCTCTGACTGAGAGTTACACCATCGGGTCTCCTTGTTCTCAGCCTCTGACTTTAGACGAAGCCATGCTATCAGTTTCTTTGGTTCACCAGCTCACAGATGGCATACCGTGGGACTACTCAGCCTTGTGATGACATAAGCAAATTCCCTCATAAATCCCGTCTCATAGATCTCTATCTAACTCCTAC
Organism: Homo sapiens; assembly: GCF_000001405.40. Classification (NCBI taxonomy): domain Eukaryota; kingdom Metazoa; phylum Chordata; class Mammalia; order Primates; family Hominidae; genus Homo; species Homo sapiens. The sequence continues at coordinate 133,514,641 of NC_000003.12, forward strand.
CTACCTATGTACCTATATCCTACTGGTGCTCTGGAGAAGCATGATTAACAGGTGGACACCTGACTCCAGAGGGTCAGTCCGAATTTTTTCTCCCAAGAATGTGGATTTGATCCTAAAATGAATGAGTCAGTTTCTGCTGGTTGCTTCACTCATAGACGGGCCAGCTCAAGATCTGCAAGTGGGCCTTTCCTCCACAGGGGTAGGGAAGTCTAGAAGTCTGCTCTACAGGAGAGGCAGGAACCTGACACGCAGGCAGAGGAGAGATAGATGTCACAGCTTTGAGGAGTCAGAGGAAAGCTCTGCCTTCCTTTCCAGATTCTGTCCAGCTCCGGGTCCCAGGCCTCAGGAGACCCTATTGCCTGGTTCCAGGAAACCTTGGTATGTGCCCAAACCTCCTTCTTTTATTAAACTAGCTCACATTTGACTAGGACCCACGTTGCTCCTCTTATACCCCAAGTGTATCCTTCAAGTCTGAGCACAAATGCCCCCTGCTTGGAGAAGCCCTCACTCACTTTCAGGAAAAGTAAGCCATTTTCTGCCCAAGACCCAAAACTACCAAATTCATCCTATACTACCATATTCACAACATACTACCACAATCACCCTATATGACTACCTTCATGCTATGCTACCACAGCCATCACCCAATGCTACCACACTCACCCTGTGCTGCCAGTCACCCTATGTTACCACATTCATCCTGGACTACCCCAGTCAACTAGACTACCACATTCACCTTATGCTATCACAGTCACCAGTACTACTGCCTCACATTGTACTACCATTCACTCACTACTGCAATCTCCCTGTACTACCACAGTCATCCTACGCCACCACATTCACCTTATGTACCACAGTCACATTGTATTACCCCTCCACTCACTTCCACAGGCACCCTGGACTACCACATTCACACCCTACTATCACAGTTATACTGCCATCACTTCCCTTGGGCCCATGGGCGTTATTTGTCTTATTATTATACTTGTGCCCTCAGATGACATGATAATGTCCCATTCAAGCCCCTTCTCCTAATGTCTGAAACATCACCTCATACCTAATAGGAGCTAAGCAGATATTACTGAGTAAGTCAGAAGGATGGTAAATCAATGAATGGGGAAATCACTGGACTACTATTTAAAGATTCTTATTCAACTCTGTGGGTTTAAAATTTTCTTCTACTATTTATAAGAATGAGAACGCAGGCACCATGAGAGCAGCACCCAGCACAGCGCCCAGCCTGGCAGACACTCAATAAACATGGGTTGGATGAATGAGTTAGGGAGTAGGTATGTGAGTAGGTGTTTGGACTGCTAAAAACTAAGTCCTAAACTTCTGAAGCTCCTTGCCCGTGGATGGTAATTTCTAAATGCTATCCATAACTCTTACCCTACTATCTGCACCCCCTTTTACGAATACCTACAGAAGGACATTAAGTGGTCATTCAGAAAGAGTGGTGGGGCCCCAGTTAATCCTACTCCCGCTTGCATTACCACACTCCTGAGCAAGGCAGGTCGTCCCTTAAACTCTGCTGTTGTGCCTCCTCTTTCTTTCATCATCTTGGGAAAAAGTATGTTTCTCTGAAGATACCTGGCCTTTCTTGCTGAGGAAGTCTTCTCTCTTTCTCTTCTCTTTCTCTCCTCCTGCACTTCTTCCTTCTGACATGTCTGGGCCCTGACACTCTCTTGTCCCACCTCTCACCATCCATTCTGACCAGGAGCCCCTGGTAAATTCTTTGCCTTGGCTCTGGCTGAGGCAGAAGGAAGAAGAAAGTGTGATTCTATTAACTCCTATAATAGACGTTTGTTGAATGCTCACTGTGCTTCCCATGTTCAGGAGTCGTTGGAAAGATAACCTTGGATTCCACAGTCCTTGTTTTTGTGTGACTTAGTTTTAGGGAGAAAACAGATATTCAACTTCCACTGAATTAAAAACAATACTTTCCCCACAAAGGAGTGGTGGCTAAATGGAATTTTACAAAGATCTCCCAAGTACTGATGGATACATGCACAGATTAGATAAATTTAGACCAAACTAGGATAGTTGTAACAACATGGTGTATGTATTAAACTGCTACGGCTGCCATAACAAAGTACCACTGGCTGGGTGGCTTAAACAACAGAAACGTATTTCCTCCCAGTTCTGGAGGCTAAGTCTAAGATCAGGGCGCCATCAGGGTTGATCTCTTCTGAGGCCCCTGTCCTGGGCTTGCCGATGGCCAGCTTCTTGCTGCCTCTTCACAAGGTCATCTATCTTTTCCTGGGCTTCCCTGATGTCTCTCTGCATGTCCTAATCTCCTCTTCTTATAAGGACACCAGTCACATTGGATTAGGACCCATTCTAATGGCCTCATTTTAACTTAATCACCTCTTTCAAGGCCTAAGAATCTGAGACCAGCCTGGGCAATAAAGCGAGACCCTGTCCCTATAAGAAATAAACAAATATATAAATGCTATCTCCAGATACAGTCACATTCTGAGGTACTCGGGATTAAGGCTTCAACATACGAATCTGGAAGGCATTCAGCCCATAACACTATATAATAGCCAAACACGCTAGACCCAGCCTAAATATCTAAGGACAGGATAACGACTGAGCTCATTCAACAAATATATACTGTGTGCTCACAGGGTCAGCTACTACACCGGATGCAGAGTCCTTCTCCACAGTCTAGTGGTGGCAGTGGGGACAAATTATAAGTGAGGCAGCCTAGCATGGTGCTTGTAGGCATGGACTCTGGATGCAGACTTCCTCGCTCCCCCACCTACCAGCTGGGTGATCAAGGGCAAGATATTTAACTTCTGTGCCTCAGTTTCCTCATTTGTAAAATGGGGTTAATACTGGTACTTACCTCATAGACATGTTTTTTGTAAAGCTTTTGGAACAGTAGCTTAGGCGCATAGCCCTATATGAGTGGTAAATAAATAAATTTGCAAATATCCGTGTGAATCTGGCATTGAAAATGAGGTTTGTTGTAGACTGAAATATTGGCCGCAATGTCACCTCTCCCTGTATCCAGGCCCTCTGCTGTGTAACTCTGCAGTTCCTCCACAAATAGTGGAGTCTACTTCTTTGTCCCTTGACTTTAAGCTCACCATGTGACATGCTCTGGCCACTGGGATGTTAGCAGCTGTGAAATAAGTAGAGGTATGAGGTGTGCCAGCTGGGTGTGTCCCCTCGCGTTTCCCTCACCATCCTAGGATCATGCCAGAACTAGCTTGCTGATCCTAGGGGCAGGACAGAGACGTGGGGACCAGAGTCACCTCAGCTGATCCACAAACACCTAAGTGAGAACTCCATGCTTATTGTTTTATATCCCGAGACTTTGATGTTGTTTGTTATGCAGCAATAATTGACTAATAGAAGGTTGACTGAGACTACTTAATAACAAGGGGAAATGTTCCCAACAAATTATTAAGTGGTAGAAAACCAAATAATAAACAATTTGCACAGTAAGATCATATTTTTCTTTTAAATAAATGCGCACCTATGCGTGTGTGTATGTGATGTATCCCTGAAAAAATATAGACCAAAATGTTATTCAGTAGTTATCCCTGTTGACAGTAATTTTTAATTTTTGTTTATCTTTTTCTATGCTTCAAACGAGCCACATGGCCATATTTTGATTTTATAAATAGATTGTGAAATATTAATTGAGAAGATATCTAGACGAATGAATCACCAAAGGTGGCCAGGTAGGTAGAAGCAGCCCCTCCATGGTGCCTGTTCTCACATCCCCGACTTTGGCCCAGATTCTTTGGTGGTGAATCTTCACTACACCTGCACTACAGTGGGCTTGGAGGCCACACAGAATGTCTGCGATTGTCGGAGTCCAGAAAGCAATGTGTAAGATAGCCTTTCAAGGTGATAACTTGTTAAGATTCCTTGGAGCCCTCTGATGGGTTCCTGTGGGTCTTGGAACACGGAATTTAAATGCAATTTGGGCACATGCCAGGTCAGTGCAGAAATTAAAAGTTACATTTAGTTTAAGAGCAAAACAGGAGAGAACCTGAGGAACAAGTCTGAAATATCTCATCTGCTTGCAGCAGTGATTTCATTTTAGTCTGCAATATTCCAGCCATGCATTGGCTTCCTCAGTGGGACCAGTCCTAGTAAATGGAACCTGCATGGATAAGGCTCGGCTTCTTCAGCAAAGGCAGTCTAAACCGTACGGCCTTCACTCCATCTCACTCTGGATTCAGAATCCAGACTGCCACCGCAAGTGGCTTCCAGATCTTCCTAGAAGAGACTGTTGCTATTTTATTTTTTTAATGAATTTTATTGATGTGTAATTTATAGACAATAAAATTCATTCATTTAAAATGTACAGCTCAATGAGTTTTAAAAATGTATATGCTCTTGTAACTGCCATCATAGTCAAGATACAGAACGTCTTCATCCCCCTGAAATGTTTCCACAGTCCCTGTGCAGTTAAACCCAACCCTCACTCCTGGTTTTAGGTTACCACCAATGTGCTGCCTCACTATAGATTAGGTTTGCCTTTTCTAGAACATTATGTAAATGAAATCATATAGCATATACCCTTTTGTGCTTGGTTTCTTTTGTTCAGCATGATTTTGAGATTTATTCAAGTTGTTTTGTGTATCAAAATCTCATTCTTGGCCAGATGCAGTGGCTCATGCCTGTAATCCCAGCACTTTGGGAGACCGAGGCAGGCAGATCACTTGAGGTCCGGAGTTCGAGACCAGCATGGCCAACATGGTGAAACCCCATCTCTACCAAAAATACAAAACTTAGCTGGGCGTGGTGGCACATGCCTGTAATCCCAGCTACTCGGGAGGCTGAGGCATGAGAATCGCTTGAACCCAGGAGGCAGAGGCTGCAGTGAGCTGAGATGTTGCCACTGCACTCCAGCCTGGGCACTCTGCCTCAAAAAAAAAAAAAAAAAAAAATCATTCTTTTTTATTGTTTAATAGCATTCCATTGTATGAATATACCACAATCTATCCATTCACCTTTTGGTAGACATTTGGGTGGTTTCTAGTTTTTGGCTATCATAGAGCTATTTTTTTGAGTTTCAACTGTACTTATTCGGGCCTTGACAGCTGTTATGGGGCTCACTTACTACTGAATGAATAATTTTCCCTGAAGCTTGCTTTTGCACTAAGCAAAAAAAAAGCTCTGTGATTAAACAAATTGATTATTCATTCATTCAACCAATCAGTCATTCAATTAGCCATTTATCGACTAAATATTTGCCTATCATCTACTGTTAATACCAGTAATAATTCAGTAATATTATTTATGGAATGCTTAATAAACGATGCCAGGCATGGTGGCTCATACCTATGGCCCCTGCTACATGGGAGGCTGAAGTGGGAGAATTGCTTGAGCCCAGGAGTTCAAGTTTAACCTGGGCAACACAGCAAGACCCATTTCAAATAAATAAATAAATAAATAAATAAATAAATGTTAAAGTCACCATGCTTAGACTATTACTGGTAATCGCATTCATTTCTCACAAGAGTTCTGTAAGGTAGCTATTAACTGGTCCCTGTTTTGGGTGCTTCTTAAACAATAAAAGGCTATGCAAATAAGACTGCATTTTTATCAAACAAAGAATTTTATAGACAACTCAAGTTTTTCATTTATTTGTTGGCCTTCCCTCTCCCCTCTCACTCTCTCCAGTTGCTGTGAGTTGATGAGGTTTTATTGCATCTCTTCTCTACTCAGGACCAAATGGTCTATGACTTTGCTCAAGCTTTTATGTTTATTGGGGTTGAAGTGGTGCTTGGCTGACACTGGGAGGAAGACATTACACTCCCAACATCCCTGGTGTCAGAGCAAGATTGGTATTCATTCCAGGTGCACACTGAACACTTCATCTTCCAGACACCCAATTGAGCCAAGGTGCTATATAAGTCAAATAAATAAGTAAAATGCTGGAAAGCCAAGGGCAATTCTGTCCTTATTTGGCAGATGGAAATGTAGTTAACTTTTTCTGAGTTCCTATTGAATGCTAATACTTCCCAAGAACTTTGGAAAAGACAGGAAACAAGAGGATTAGCCAGAAAAACAAAGAGAGGGACAGACTGTCTTGACTCTTGAAAAGTTTAATTAGTTTAAGAGTCAAAACAAGCTGGAAGAATAGATATCAAAATATATATATAAATAACTGCCCAGGCACAGCAGCTCACGCCTGTAATCCCAGATCCCAGCACTTTGGAAGGATGAGGTGGGTGGATCACTTGAGGTCAGGAGTTTGAGACCAGCTTGGGCAACATGGTGAAACCCCATCTCTACTAGAAATACAAAAATTAGCTGGGCATGGTGGCACACACCTGTAATTCCAGCTACTCAGGAGGCTGAGGCATGAGAATTGCTTGAACCAGGGAGACAGAGGTTGTAGTGAGCCAAGATCGTGCCGCTGCACTCCAGTCTTGGCGACACAGCAAGACTCCCTCTCAAAAACAAAAAACAAACATACTAATCCACTGGTTCTCAAACCTAGCCAACCATCAGAATCACCTAGCAGCCTTGATAAAACATAGATTGTTGGCCTGGTGCAGTGACTCATGCCTGTAATCTCAGCACTTTGGGAGGCTGAGGCGAGAGGATTGCTTGAGCCCAGGAGTTTGAGGTTGCAGTGAGCTATGATTGTGCCACTGTACTCCAGCCTAAGCAACAAAGTAAAACCCTGTCCCCCCAAAAAAAACAACAACAAAAACAAAATAAACAAAACACAGATTGTTAGCTTCTCACTCTCAGCGTTTATGATTCAGTAGGTCTAGAGTAGACCTCAAGAATTTGCATTTTTAACTAGGTGTGGTGGCTCACACCTGTAATCTCAGTACTTTGGGAGGCCAAAGCAGGATGATCACTTGAGCCCAGGAGTTCAACACCAGCCTGGGCAATGTAGTGAGACCTTGTCTCTATAAAAAATAATAATAATAATAAGCCAGTATGGTGGTATGCATATGCAGTCCCAGCTACTTAAGAGGCTGAAGTGGGAGGACTGCTTGAACCCAGGAGGCCCAGGTTGCAGTAAGTCGTGATCTCATCACTACACTTTAGCCCTGACAACAGAACGAGAACCTATCTCAAAAAAAAGAATTTGCATTTCTAATAAGTTTCTAGGTGACGGTAATACTGCTGGTCCAAGGACCACACTTTGAGATCCACTCAAATTTGACATGTGCTATATCTCATTTAAACATCCCAAGAGCACTGTGAAGTAGTCTTATTATCCTCATTTTTTGAATGAGGAAAGTAGAGTTCACAGAATTTTTGGAACTTGCCCTAGCTTCACAGCTAGTGAATGGCAAAACTAAACTCTCAATTTAAGTCTGTCTCACTCCAAAAGCTATGGATTTCCCACTATTTCAAACTGCCCCCAGATACTTCCTGGAAAAGTGGACCTAGAATACAATCTGAGCTGGTCAATGTTGTCACAATCTCTAGAGCCCGGGAGTAAACAGGCCTGGTGACATTACTTAGGGCCACATGCTACCAAAATAATAGGATAGTTAACAGAATGACTTGGAAGGGACCCAGAATGTAGGCGTCAGTGACCCCGACCAAAACTCTGTGATCCCCTGAAGCTAACTCAGAATGCAAAAAATCCCAGTGCAACCAGCACTTCTACTTCCTCCTTTAACAACGACAGAGACCATTCAAATCAGATTCTCGTCTGACTTTCCCCCTTCACCTTTCCATGAGCCTTCTGCCACATTAACTCAATACAAGAAACAATTCTATGACAATGTATAAAAGCAAAGACTTCAAACTCAAGTCGATGCTGTATGTGAGCAAAGGAGTACTATTTTCCTGTTGAATTTTTGTCATCTAAAAGACTTCAATTCAGACATAAATTACCAACTTAAGAAATGAAAGAGGACCGGGCACGGTGGCTTATGTCTGTAATCCCAACACTTTGGGAGGCTTAGGCGGGCGAATCACCTGAAGTCAGGAGTTCGAGACCAGCCTGGCCAACATGGAGAAACCTCGTCTCTACTAAAAATACAAAACTTAGCCGAGCATGGTAGTGCATGCCTGTAATCCCAGCTACTTGGGAGGCTGAGACAGGAGAATTGCTTGAACCCAGGAGGCAGAGGTTGCAGTGAGCCAAGATCGCTCCACTGCATTCCAGCCTGTGCGACAGAGTGAGACTTTGTCTCAAAAAAAAAAAAAAAGAGAGAGAAAGAAATGAGAAAGGAGGCTGGGCCCAGTGGTTCACTCCTGTAATCCTAGCACCTTGGGAGGCCAAGGTGGGTGGATTACTTGAAGTCAGGGATTCAAGACCAGCCTGGTCAACATGGTGAAACCTTGTCTCTATAAAAATCCAAAAATTAGCTGAGCGTGGTTGTGCACACCTGTAATCCCAGCTACTCAGGAGGCTGAGGCAGGAGAATCGCTTGAACCCAGGAGGCAGAGGCTGCAATGAGCCTATATCACACCACTGTACTCCAGCCTGGGCGACAGAGCGAGACTCCATCTCACGAAGAAAAAAAAAAAAGGAAATGAGAGAGGAGATACCACCAAGATTAAAAGGATGGTAAGGAAAAGTCACGAACAACTTTATGCCAATACATTTGTCAACTTAGATGAAAGGGACAAATTCGACTACCAAAGACACTTGAGAAGAAATAAACAACCTGAATAGACCTATATCTGTTAAAGAAATTGAACACATAGTTTAAAATCTTTCCACAAATAAAAAACCAGATCCAGATGGTTTCACGTATGAATTCTACCAAACATGTAAGGAAGAAATTATAACAATTATATACTTCTGGAAAATCTAGTGGGGGCGGGGGGGAAATTACTTTTCAACTAATTCTATGAGGCTAAAATTATACTGAAATTAAAAGACTTTAGTTCAAGGCCGGGCAGGGTGACTCATACCTGTAATTCCAGCACTTTGGGAGGCCAAGGTGGGTGGATTGCCTGGGCTCCAGAGTTTGAGACCATGCTAGGCAACACCCGAAACCTCATCTCTACAAAAAAATACAAAAAATTAGCTGCACATGGTGGTGCATGCCTGTAGTCCCAGCTACTTGGGAGGCTGAGGTGGGAAGATCACCTAAACTAGTGGTTGAGGCTGCAGCGTGCCACGATCGTGCCACTGTACTCCAGCCTGGGTGACAGAGCGGTATGCTGTTTAAAAAAAAAAAAAAAAAAAAAGACTTTAGTTCAAGTTGAGACCAAAGACTGTGCTATTATGGGGTGGAGAAAAGTATCACAATTTTGGTAATACTAGGCAAGATGTAACCTCAAGTCTCCAGGCAGCCCCATGAGGTAAGCAAGTTTCCTTCATGTCCCTGTTTTGCCGATGAGGAAGTAGTAAGAGTAAATAGACTAGGGAACCACAACCTGATCACCTCTCTTCTGGTGGTTGGGAAGGAAGAGATAGGCAGACACCCAAAATAAACTTTGTCTACTTCATAGCTTCCCTGTGAATGAGAACAGAAAAAGTTCAGGAGCCACCAGAGGATGTTAAGGAGGCTTCTTAGAGAAGACGTGGCAATGCACCTCATGGAGACGTTTAATTTCTTCACTACAAGGAATTTCAAACTTATCTAAAAGGAAATAGAATACAACAAAGCTCCCTTACCCAATCCCAACAAACAACCATCAATGTCCTATTCATTCATACCTCCATCTACTTCCTCTGTCACATATTATTTTGAAGCAAATCTTACCCATTGTATTTTACCCATAAATGTTTCATTCTATATCTCTAAAACATTGTTTCTAGACCTCAGCACTATTGATGTGTGGGCTAAATAATTCTTTGTTGTAGAGGACAGTCCTGTGTGTTGTAGGACGTTCAGTAATATTCCTGGTCTCTACCCACTAGATGCCAGTATCACCCGTCCCCCGCTGTTTCGACAAACAAAAATGACTCCAGAAATCTCCCCTGGGGGTGTGGGGGTAAAACGTCAAAAATGAAAACTACTGCTCTAATAGACAAGGACTCTTTCTTAAAAAGCATACACATGATATTATTATCACACCTAAAAAAATATAATTTTTTTTTTTGAAACAGTCTCACTCTGTCACCCAGGCTGGAGTGCAATGGCGTGGTCTCAACTCACTGCAGCCTCCACCTCCCGGGTTCAAGCAATTCTTCTGCTTCAGTCTCCTGAGTAGCTGGGATTACAGTCGCGCACCACCACGCCCAGCTAATTTTTGTATTTTTAGTAGAGAGGGGGGTTTCACCATGTTGACCAGGCTGGTCTCGAACTCCTGACCTCAGGTGATCTGCCTGCCTTGGCCTCTCAAAGTGCCGGAATTACAGGAGTGAGCCACCATGCCCGGCCTAAATTCTTGTATTAAATTTCCTCTAATAAGCAATTTATTTAGTAATGGCTACCTGCAAGGTTGGGATGAACAAGATTCTGAAGCTTTGTCCAAGTCCAGTAGAAAGAGTGCCAAGACTGATTTTTCTTTTTAAGATGGTTGGGGGGGGTCTCACTATGTTGGCTAGGTTGGTTTTGAACTCCTGGCCTGAAGCAATCCTTTTGCCAAGGCCTCTCAAAGTGGTAGGATTACAGGTGTGAGGCACCACACCTAGCCAAGACTGATTAATGATGCCTGGCATGAGCATGTGATGGGACAGTGCTAGTTTCTGTCCCTAATCTAGTCCATTCCCCTCTTTTTGAATTGAAGACTCGGTAGAAAGAAATGAGATCACTAAACATAGCTTACAGGGTATTGAGTATGGTTATGGAATCAGGGCAGATTCAAAATCAAAGTGGGATTTTTCTCTTTTTTGTTTTTAATAACTCCAAGTGTTGACAATGTGCAAGGGAATAAGCATGTTCAGATATTATTTGTGAGAATATAATTTGGCACAAATTTTCCAGAGAACAATTTGACAATATATAACAAAAACCTTAAAAGTTTGCTTACCCTTTGACCTAGAAATTCTACTGCCAGAAATGTATTCCAGGGATGTGCAGAGAGACTTAGTGAAGATTGTTTATTGCAAGGTCTGTAATAATAAACCACTGGAAACAATCTAAGGGTTTGACTATGGAGGATTAGCTAAACACAGTATGCTGTCCAACTGATGACCTTGCAGTCACTTGAATATTACAAAAACACATGAGGACATGGAAAGATGTTTGTGACATATAGGGAAGTGAAAAAAAGCAAGTCTGCATATTCAATAAGTCTCAATTACTGAGTATATTTCAGTAAGTAAGTGAGACTTACTGAATATATTTCAGTATATCACTATATATATATTTACTTAATATCAAGCAAATATATTCAGCAAATCTCACTTTCTATTTTTAAAAAATTTTTACACATAAATATATGCACGAGAAAAAAGGTCATAGTAATTATCCAAAATATTAACAGCAGTTGTTGCCAGCTAGTTAAATTAAGAGTAATTTTTATTTTCTTCCTTTTGTTTATCTGGCTTTTCATAATTTTATTTATTTATTTATTTATTTTTTGAGACAGAGTCTAGCTCTGTCGCCCAGGCTGGAGTGCAGTGGCGCAATCTCGGCTCGCTCACTGCAACCTCCACCTCCCAGGTTCAAGTGATTTTCCTGCCTCAGCCTTCTGAGTAGCAGGTATTACAGGTGACTGCCACCAAGCCCGGCTAATTTTTTTATTTTTAGTAGAGATGGGGTTTCGCCATGTTGGCCAGACTGGTCTCGAACTCCTGACCTCAAGTGATCTGTCCACCTTGGCCTCCCAAAGTGTTGGGATTACAGGAGTGAGCCACCGCACTAGGCTCATAATTTTCTGTAAGAATCCCACATTACTTTTTAGGGGAAAAATGTTTAATAACAATGCCTTTTTTTCTTTTTTTTTTTGAGGCAGAGTTTCACTCTTGTTGCCCAGGCTGGAGTGCAATTGTGCGATCTCGGCTCACTGCAACCTCTGCCTCCCAAGTTCAAACAATTCTCCTGCCTCCGCCTCCTAAGTAGCCGGGATTACAGGCATGCGCCACCACCCCCCTCTAATTTTGTATTTTTAGTAGAGACAGGTTTTCTCCATGTTGGGCAGGCTGGTCTTGAACTCCCAACCTCAGTGATCCGCCCACCTCGGCCTCCCAAAGTGCTGAGATTACAGGCGTGAGCCACCGTGCCCAGCCAACAATGCTTTTAACTGGCTTGCCAGATAAAATGCACCATGGGACATACTTACATTAAAATATTATTTATTATTTGTATAAAATTTAAATTTAACTGAGTGCCCTGAATTTTTCTTTACTAAATCTGGCAAGCCCACTTTTAATGTGAAGTAATAAAAGAAAGATCTGGGTGCTGGAACCAAATGGGCTGGCCTCTGTGAAGATAGGAGAGGAATTATTATTCCAAGTCTTTTAAATAAGAACATCAGGATTTTGGTGAAATAAGGAGGGAAAACCAATTTGAGAGCCACACAGTCCTTGTCTCAAATCTGGAGTCTACTATCACCATCACCACCACCACCATCATCCCACCTCACTCCCCTCTCTGTGTCCTGATCTGGATGTCCTGAAGCAAGTTATTTGTTTCCCCCCATTCTCAGTAATAGTGCGTATCTTCCAAGGATTAAATGAGAACATGTGTGTAAAGGCACCTTGTAAATTGCAAACTGCCAAACAGCAGGTTATTATCATGTTAGTAAATTACACACACAAGGACATGTCAAACAGGAACAAAACATCTGCCACAGACAACCACAGAATTGTTCCTTGCAGCACATTTTTGATGGCTCTCTGAGGTCAAAACAACTCAAGGTTTAGTCACTCCAGTGCTGAACCCATATATTAATATCTATCCAAATTGTTCTATGATCCTATTTATAGCTGCACTGATCATTAAATGTTGTTGGAACATTTTGCCTCAAGTCAGTTGTTAAATTGCTTGGCGAGTAGTGTGCAACGCGTGGCTCAGGGGAAGCCTGTGTGGTTTATGAGTTTGGCAGCTCATAACTCCAGGGCCTCACCTTATCCTCACACACTAGTCCTGGTCACCTTGGAAACTGCCCTATTCTAGATGCAGAGCACAGGACGCCCTGGCTGACATGGAATTAATCAGCAGCCACCTTCTCTACTGGTCTCTGTTACTGGAAAAACGTCAGTGCCTCTCAAGCCACTTTAGGGAGGATCCATGGCAGAGTTTTAAGGATCTTCCAGGGAAAATTAATATAAGAGTCTGGGTTTTATGAGAAAATGGAAAAATAAGACAAGCAAGAAAGAAATTAAGAAAGAAAGAGGAAAAGACAGAAATAAGAAGAAAGAGAAAAAAAATAAGGAGAAGAAAAAAACCAGAAGATTATTATCCCATTTTACAGATGAGGAAACTGAAACTCAGATGCCCAAAGTTACTAAGCAAATAAGTATCAGAGCTCTGTTTCAAATCCAAGATAAACAAAATTCCTTCAGGAGAAAAAACTCCCCCCAAGAAGAATGAATTTTACAGATGTCCAAAGACGTAAAGAGACAATCACCTGTGTTTATGTCCTTCAGCTAGAGAGTAAATTCCAAAATTCCATGAAAATATATGAGGATACCCCATTGGATGGACATTTTTTAAAGTGAAAAGGCTCAAAGCCAGCAAAATGTGTTACTGAAACTCGTGCATGCAGATATGGTTGGTGACAACAAAAAGCAATTTGTAAAATTTAACAGGAGTCATAAAAATGTTACTAGTTTGTTCCAGTTACTGTTGCCTATAACAAATTACCCCAAAAATTTAGCAGCTTAAAATAACCATTTAATGATATCCATGGATTCTGTGTGTCAAGAATCTAGACAAGGCACAGTGGGGTGGCTTATCTCTGCTCCTCAATGGGTAGGGCTTCAGCTGGGAAGACTCTATGGCTGCGAGGACTTAGTGGCTAGGGTTGGAACATCCAAAGGCTCGACTGGGCTGAAAAATCCTAGATGGCTGCCAGTTGGTGTTAGCTGTTGGCCAGGAACTCAACTGGGCTATCCTGGAGAGCATCTATCTGTGGCCTCTCTAGCATGGTGATCTCGAGGTAGTTCAACTTTGTGGCTGACTCTCCCAGGAGAAAGAATCAGGCAGCAGCTTCATGGCATTTTCTGACCAGTCACACAGTATCACTTTCACTGCATTCCCTCAATTGAATCGGTCACAGCTGGACACAGTGGCTTCGGCCTGTAATCCCAGACTTTGGGAGGCCAGGGCAGGAGGATCACTTGAGCCCAGAAGTTCGAGACCAGCCTGAGCAACACAGGGAGAACCTGTCTCTACAAAAAATTTTTTAAAAATTAAAATTACCCAGGCGTGGTGGTGTGCACCTGTAATCCCAGCTACTCAGGAGGCTGAAGCAGGAGGATCACTTAAGCCGAGGAGGTCGAGGCTGCAGTGGGCCATGATGGTGCTGTTGCACTCCAGCCTGGGTGACAGAGTGACACCTGTCTCAAAATCAAAATAAAAATTGTTTTTAAAAGTGTTGAATATTGGCCGGGCACAGTGTCTCACACCTGTAATCCCAGCACTGTGGGAGGCCAAGGCAAGCTGATCACTTGAGGTCAGGAGTTCGAGACTAGCCTGGCCAACATGGCAAAACCCCATCTCCACTAAATATACAAAAATTAGCCAGGTGTGGTGATCCACACCTGTAATCCCAGCTACTCGGGAGGCTGAGGCAGGAGAATCGCTTGAACCCAGGAAGTGGAGGTTGCAGTGAGCCAAGATCACACCACTGCACTCCAGCCTGGGTGACAGACTAAGACTTTGTCTCAAAAAAAAAAAAAAAAGGCTGCACACTGTGGCTGACGCCTGTAATCCCAGCACTTTGGGAGGCCAAGCTGGGCGGATTACCTGGGTTGGAAGTTCAAGACCAGCTTGGCCAACACGGTGAAACCCTGTCTCTACTAAAAATACAAAAAATTAGCTGGGTGCAGTGGCACATGCCTGTAATCCCAGCTACTCAGGAGGCTGAGGCAGGAGAATCACTTGAACCTGGGATGCAGAGGTTGTGGTGAGCCAAGATCGTGCCACTGCACTCCAGCCTGGGTGACAGAGCAAGACTCCATCTCAAAAAAAAAAAAAAAAGGGTTGAATATCTTATGGAATTTATTGACTAAGTACTGAATGTGTATTGCTTTTACACCATAGTAAAGTTGAAAAATTGTAAGCCAAGCCATTGTAAATCAGAGTCTGTCTATATATATGTAGAGTCAAAGACCGAGAGGAAACACAAAGATGAAAACAGTTGCTGTTTACAGGACTGGAATTATAGGTGACTTTTTTCTCCCTTCTTTGTTTCAGAATTACTGTTGTTTAACTTCTTTATAATAATTTCTGAAATTGTCAAAGTCTAGGATAAAAAACAGCCACAGAAAATGAGAGCAACAGGGAGAGAGAAGAGGATGTGTGGGGAGTGTATCAGTCAGCTACTGCTATGTAACAAACCACCCCAGAACTCTGCATCTTAACAATTATTATTGATTGTTAAGCTCACTTGTGTGAGTCAGCTGAGGTATGGCCAATCTACGCTGAGCTTACTCATGCATCTGTGGGTTGGTTGGAGGATCTTCTCTAGGCTGGGTTTGTCCGGGGCAGCTCTGTTCCCCATGTTCCCTAGTGGGCTATGGGGAGCCATATTCTTCTCATGGTGATGGCAGAGGTGTACAAAGATAAGCAGAAACACCTGAGGTCTCTTGAGACCTAAGTGCAGAACTCAAGTGTGTTCACTTCTGCATTACTGACATAACCAAACCCAAAGTTTAGAGCCAGGTGGAATTCACAGAGAGAAGACACTGCCAAGTTACATTGCAAAGGATGTGGATACAGGAAGGGATGATAAATAGGGACCAATAACATCATCTAACTACAGGAAAGGAAAGGAAAATGAGAGATTGGACAGGATGAGAAGCAGTTCAAGGCAGGAGGTTCAAGGACACAGTGGATAACAGTTATTCTCTCATACTCCCCAAACCGGACCCCAACACACACACACACACACACACACACACACACACACACACACACACACACAAGAAGCATCTAGTCGTCTACCTAATATCCATTGCTTTTCTCCTATACAAAAAGAAATCTGACCCAGCTCCAGTCAGAGGGGATAGTTCCTACCTGGTCTAAGCTAATCTTTGCAGTCCATTTGCCTGGTGAGTGATTGGTTTAGGATTGGTCACATGATACAGTTCAGGCCAATAAGAAGTGAGAGAAAAATCTGCTGGCCAGTAGAAGGGTTTCTCTGAAATGTTTCTTGACTAAAAACAAAACAAAAACAAGCAAAAATCAGCAGCCCTCCCTCTTCCAAACTTTGTGAGATCTGGACCTGCCACCACCATCCTGCACGGCAGAGTGGACAGAAGGAAAGAACCTTAGACTTGCTGATATTGATAACAGCTGAATTCACTGCCAGAGCTGCCCTCCCTCTGGGTGACCTGACATCTGAGATGAATTTTATTTTCTCCAGTCTTGTCCTCTCTCCTAGACTCCAAATGCTTTCAGCTGCCTGTGGTGGCCTCTACATTCGAATGTCTCACTTAAGTCCAAACAAATTCCTCATGGGATTTGCTGGGATTCCCCAAGAGCAGAACAGAAATCAGGCACTCTGAAAATCGTGCCATGAAAATGCAATTTGTTAGTGAGGTGAGGAGAGAATACCAGTGTGGAGCCCCACAGTCCTCAGCCTGAATCCTGTGGCACTGCCACATACTTACCTGAGTGAAGTCCTTATATCTCCTCTCTGGGTCTCAATTTCCTCATCTGTAAAATGGGGATAATAGAGTCCAGGGGAGGATTACAGAGATAACATACAAAAAGCTCCTAGTGCACGATGCTCAATAAATGTCAGTGGTTCCCTTTGTTGGTGCGGAGAACAATAATAAAATCTCGGCGGGGCGTGGTGGCTCACACCTGTAATCCCAGCACCTTGGGAGGCCAAGGCAGGTGAATCATCTGAGGTCAGGAGTTCGAGACCAGCCTGGCCAACAGGGTGAAACCTTGTCTCTACTAAAAATACAAAAAATTACCCGGGCATGGTGGTAGGCACCTGTAATTCCAGCTACTCGGGAGGCTGAGGCAAGAGAATCGCTTGAACCTGGGAGGCGGAGGTTGCAGTGAGCTGAGATTGTGCCATTGCACTCCAGCCTGGGCGACAGAGCAAGACTCTGTCTCAAATAATAATAATAATAATTATAATAAAATCTCAGTTTGGAAAGGATCCTGACAGGTATGATAAATGATTATATTTCCTGGATGATCATAGCAGGATCATTGCATGTCCTGCCCAAATAACCATCACTGCACACTGCAAGGCATACAGGGCCAGAACCAACTGCACTGGGCATTAGGGTGGCATTTCCTAAGTGTGTTCTTAGAAACTTAGCTCTCAAGTAGTACGAATGTTATGAAGGGGCAAAAGAAATGCTGGAATCAAATAACTTTGGGAAACATTGCGTTAAATAACACCAAAGCAGGTTTCTTTAATGCAGGACCTCTCAGAGCATTGAACAGAGTGGTACACTTTGAAATATCCAATGAAGGATGGAATCTGCAGAGTTTCCTAAACCTCTTGCTCCTGGGAGACCATCCAGCTGGGAAAGGCTGCATCAGGAAATGAGGCATCTGTCCACGTAGTGACGAAACCACAGACAACCACCGAGGTCAGCCTCAACTTTGCATTCACCCCCAATCACTGCATTGTAGAAATTCTCTCCTTTCCTACTTCAGTCTAAATAGTAACTTAAGGAACTCCATTCACTGCTGCTCCGCAGTCTTCCACAGTGTCCCCATTCATCCCCTCTGAATGAAGCAAACCTCCAAGTTCATGGTTTTAGGTAGTCTTCTGAGGCTAAGAGAAGAGGGTCATCTTGTCAGGACAGAGAGAATTCTCCCTTCCTATTCCCGTCCTGAAGCAGGCCCTGAACACAGGTAGGCAAAGCTGGCTTTCCCATCTCAGCCAGGTCTCTCAGCTGCTGAGTTCAGTAAATTTCAAGATAGCTGGCTTTCTTAGGTCCTGCTATTGCCCTCTTGTATGTTAATGAACTTCCTTTAAAAACCCATCATATGTTTTGAGACTGTAGCTAAGAGATATAAGGAAAGGTCAGGATCTGGGGCAGACCAAACAGCCTTAGCAAAACCCTAAGACTCTGGGAAAGGGACTATGCATATATTCAGAAGACCTTGGCCCCAAAGTTCACCTGTAATACGCATGTGAATGAGCTATTCCTTTCTGTTGTCACCTCCCAGAATGGTCAATAATTCTATCTCAGAAACTGACCAGATAAAATGACTCTCAGTTCTCATATAGGCTTATCCTGAATCTTTTTGTCTCAGGAACACTGAGAAAGCAGGCCTTTTCCTGAACTCTTTTAACTAGAATGAAGAAGACATTCCCAGGATGACTCTAAGACAAAAACCACAGGCACTGATGAATCTTTATTAAGCATCTACTATGTGACAGATGTATATGGTCCTAGTCAGAGAGAAGAGCCAAATGCCCACAAATGTGTATGGCAAGGATAAATCCTAGCCATTCCTGGGACCATCGCCAGCTCCTCCGGTCTATCGGGTCAGTTGCAGTTTGGGAAACTGAGCAATGTCTGCAATGTAAAGAATCCGATCCACCCAACCCTTATCAACCCGCTCAGACAGCTGCAGCTGTGGGTGAGGCCCTTGGGAAGATTTACTTAAACATGAAGCTAGACATGGGTTTGTCTTTCATTCAACATACTTGCAGGGAACAGGCATTGGAGACAGCAGAAACAAGGCTGGCCAACTGCTTTGTGGGTGGGCAAGGTGGACATTTGCCTGGGAGGCAGGAGGCCTTTACAGAAACTATGGAGTGGCACGCAGCTCAGGCCTTTGCATGCCCCTGAAACTTAGCTTTTTTGGTAGGGGGTTCTGGGGAGGGGGAGGTTGAGGAAGAAAGGCAGACTGCTGTGGTGGGCTAGGGGGTCAGCAGTCCTAGCCTCATCTCTAACAGGTGGTTGTCTGTGGTTTCACCACTATGTGGACAGATGCCTCTAAATGATCTCGCCAGGTCATTTTCTTTTTTTTTTCTTTTCTTTTCTTTTTTTTTGCTTTTATTTTCTTTCTTTCTGTTTCTTTTTTGTTGTTTTTTCTTTTGTTTGTTGTTGTTGTTGTTGTTGTTCTTGCTGGTATAGACAGGGTTTTACCATGTTGCCTTGGCTGCTCTCAAACTCCCAGACTCAAGCAATCCACCCAACTAGGCCTCTTAAAGTGTTGAGATTACAGGCATGAGCCACCACACACAGCCATCATTTCTGCTGTCTGACCTCAGTTTCCTTGTTAGTAAAAAATGAGATGGTTGTTCTAGATCTGTCTATCAGGATTTTTTTTTATTGTGGTAAAAATACAATTAAAATTTACTGTTACCGGCCGGGCGTGGTGGCTCACACCTGTAATCCCAGCACTTTGGGAGGCAGAGGCGGGCGGATCATGAGGTCAGGAGATCGAGACCATCCTGGCTAACACAGTGAAACCCCGCCTCTACTAAAAATACACAAAATTAGCCGGGCGTGGTAGCGGGCACCTGTAGTCCCAGCTACTCGGGAGGCTGAGGCAGGAGAATGGCATGAACCCGGGAGGCGGAGCTTGCAGTGAGCCAAGATAGTGCCACTGCGCTCCAGCCTGGGAGACAGAGCGAGACTCCGTCTCAAAAAAAAAAAAAAATTTACTGTTACCGACATTAAGTACATTCATAATGTTGTACGACCATTATCACTACTTAGTTCCAGGACATTTAATCATCCCCAAAAGATACCCTATATCCATTAAGCAGTCATTCTTCATTGCCTCCCCCTCCCCCTGACGCTGGCAACCACTGGTTGGCTTTCTGTCTCTATGGATTTGCCTGTTCTGGATGTTTTGCATAAATGGCATCATACAATATGTGGCCCATTGTGTCTTACTCCTTTCACTTCATACACTGTTTTTGAGGGTCGTCCATATTGTAGCATGCATCAGTACTTCATTCCTTTTTAATGCCTGAATAACTCTTTATTGTAGGGATAGATACATTTTGTTCATCCATTTATCAGTTGATAAACATTTGGGTTGTTTCCACCTTTTGGCTATTGTGAATAGTGCTACTATGAACATTACAGGTTTTCAGTTGAATACCTGTTTTCAATTCTTTTGAGTATAAACCCAGGAGTAGAATTGCTAGGTCATAAGGTAAACTTATGAGGAACTGCCCAACTGTTTGCCATAGTGTCTGCATCATTTTATGTTCCCACCAGCAATGTAAGGGGGTTCCAATTTCCCCACATTGTTGCCAAAAGGATAATTTTTTTTTTTTTAAAAATGGAGTTTCACTCTTGTTGCTTAGGCTGGAGTTCAATGGCACGATCTTGGCTCATGGTAACCTCCGCCTCCCAGGTTCAAGCAATTCTCCTGCCTCAGCTTCCCAAGTAGATGGTATCACAGGCATGTGCCACCATGCTCGGCTAATTTTGTATTTTTAGTAGAGATGGGGTTTGTCCATTTTGGTCAGACTGGTCTCAAACTCCCAACCTCAGGTGATCTGCCTGCCTCAGCCTCCCAAAGTGCTAGGATTACAGGTGTGAGCCACTACACCCAGCCAAAAGGAGAATTTTTTAAAGCAGGGAGGCCACTTAGTAATCAAATGTTTTCTTCTAATGAAATATTTCTTGGAAACCCACTATAATAAAACAGATTAAAATAAACTGCTGGGGTAAAAGTGACAGCACTTCTGAGGACTCTTCTGGGTTCCAAAAACACAGTTTTAAAACTACTTGCTCCAAATGAATTTGTTAGATCCTTCCCTGCATGGAATCTGAAGACCCTATTTTCTCCCTTTCTTTCTCCAAGGTTCATCCATCTGGTCCCTGGAAGTAGGAATAGCTTGAAGAAGGTTCTTCCCATCACTATGACATGCTTTTGGGGAAAGTCTGAGGTTACAGTGCTCCTCAAACTGTGGCATGGGGCCTACTTTCAGAAGAAATCACCTGGTTATTACTAAAATGAAAATTCTGGGCTGGGTGTGGTGGCTTATGCCTGTAATCTCAACACTTTGGAAAGTCAGGGCAGGTGGATCACTTGGAGCCCAGGAGTTCAAGACCAGACTGGACAATAGGACAACACCCTATCTCTACAAATATATTTTTTAAATTAGTCAGGCTTGGCGGCACATACCTATGGTCACAGCTACTCAGGAGGCTGAGGTGGGAGGATCACTTGAGCCTGGGAGGTTGAAACTGCAGTGAGCCATGATCGCACCATCACACTCTAGCCTGGCCAAGAGTGAGACCCTGTCTCAAAAAAATAAATAAATAAAACAAATATATAAAATAAAACAAAAAATACTGGGACCCCACTCCAGACTTATAGAATGGGAATCTTCTTAGGGAGAACCTGAGCTTTGCATTTTTTACATACTTTCCAAATGATTTTGATGCCCTAAAATCTGAGCACCACTAGCTGGAAAGGACTGAGAGGTGAGAGATGGGAGAGTAAATGAGGGAGGCTGACAAAGACCAAAAAGCCACCACCTTCCTGTGCCCTTGTGAATACCCTTCTCTGCTCTCTGAATGGGAGGGAGAAGCTGGATTTGCTTTCAGATCGAGGTGCCAGCTGGGGCTGCTTCAAGGTTATCTGGGCACCACTCCCTGTGCACAGAACTATAAAGACTGGTCCTGAAGGACAAGGACCCTCTTATGCCCCTCAGCAACTGTGTACAGTGTTTAGCATTTCTAAGTGCTGTTATTTTTTTCTAATAATGCTTATTATGGCTACTTTTTTGAAATTGGAAAATTTCAAAAATAGCAAATCAGCCATGAAGCAATGACTGTTTATGTGAGTTTAAGCAGCATTAGGCAATGCTTCCTTTGTGCTGAGAATCAACATTATTTACTTTGGGAATCTTGCCCAGATTTCTGTTAACTCATTCATGTACAGTTTCTCCTCCCAAGCCTTGTGACTCAATGTAGTTGTTCCCAGCTGGGGCAGGGAACAAGAAAAAGCACCATACACAGACCCAGCCTTGTGCACTGAACTCATCAAGGCCATTGAAGGTCCCCTACTCCAGCCACTCCCCCAGGAAAGGAATCTCCTCTTCAGACTCTGCTGGGACTCATCCAAGAATAAGTAGCTTCCCCATTTTGGTTATCCATTGCTGTGTAACAAATCTTGCCAAAACATAGTAACTTAAAACAACCACCATCACATTCACTCTCACCACTCTTTGGATTGGCTGAGCTTGACTGAGCAGTTCTGCTCCCTGTGATGTCAGCTGGGGCTGCAGCCATGGGGGAGCTGAACTGGGCTGAGAAGCCCTACATGACTTATTCAGATGGCTGGTTGTTCACTGGGAGCTCAACTAGGGCCATTGACTGAAATGTCTCCACCTGGCTTCTTCGTGTGGCTTGAGCTTCCCACAATATAGCAATACAGCAGCTGGGCTTTGAGCAGGAGTATCCTAAGAGCAAGTGTTCTAAGAGGGAAGAAGTGGTTCAAGGTACGGATTTGGAATTCAGTTCCAGCTCTAGGGTCTTGAACCAGTTACTTAATCTCTTGGAACCTCAGCTTCTCCATCCACCTGATGAAAATAATACCTTCCTCATCAGATTTATGTAAAGATTACAGATAGCATATGTGAAGCCCTTCTCACAGCGCTTCATAAACAGGAGTGGGTTTTGATCATGGAGACTCCAACACCTAAGCCTGGGATCACCCTTGAAAGTACATGCTGGCTGGGCGCGGTGGCTCACGCCAGTAATCCCAGCACTTTGGGCGGCCGAGGTGGGCGGATCACTTGAGGTCAGGAGTTTGAGACCAGCCTGGCCAACACGGTGAAACCCTGTCTCTATTAAAAATATACGAAAATTAGCTGGGCATGGTGGCCAGCACCTGTAATCCCAGCTACTCAGGAGGCTGATGCAGGAGAATCACTTGAACTCAGGAAGCAGAGGTTGCAGTGAGCCGACATCGCACCTCTGCACTCCAGCCGGGGCAACAGAGCGAGACTGTCTCAAAACAACAAAAAAAAGAAAGTGCATGCTGGATCTCTCCACTCTCTCTCTGAGGCTCATACAAATTCCTGAGTTGCCATCCTGACTTTTAAAAAAGTGTGTGTGTGTGTGTGTGTGTGTGTGTGTGTGTGTGTGTTTATGATGTCTTTAATGGGATCCTACAGGACTAGATGCAGAATCAGAAACTATGACCTGACTCCTCAGAATTTATCTTAAAGGAAAAAAACCTTGCAAGTGTTCGAAGATATTTATAGAAAAATGTTCCTTGCAACAGGACAAATATCATGTTATCAATAGCACATTACAACCTAAATATGTAACAATAAGGGATGCAATGTTGGGATATTATACATCCATATTCTGCTGGATATTAGCTGCTTATTAAGATATAAAGTATCTGATCATCATTCCTCTTAGGGGGAAATTCTAAGGTAGGGAAGCTCTCCTGCTTTTCACTACAGAATCAGGAGGAAGGCAGATATACTCACTCCCTGCTCCCTGGCAGGCAAGGTACAGGCATGTGAGCTGAGTGTGGTTGAGTGAGACACTCCTGCCTAAGGCTTTGCCCACAAAGACAGAGGGACCATGAGTGACTTTCGAGATTGCCATGTTGGTAGTAGAGCCTAGCTTCCAGGGGCATAGATGTCTTGTGGTTCAGAGCCGCCTTACCAAGCTAGACTATGAGAAGTGTGATGTGTGAGAGACACACATTGGAACTATGATGTGTGAGAGAAAGAAACTGTATTCATTAAACCACTCTAGGTTGGGGTCTCTTTGTTACAGCAGCTAACCTTACCCTAATTGTGGTGGCTTTAGGGCATGGCCACAAATTCTTTGGCACTCCTCCCATTGAGAAGTAGAGTATGTCCCCTCCCTTCATACCTGAGCAGACTTATGACCACTTGGATCAATGTAATATGGTGAAAGTGACACTATTGACTTCCAAGGCTAGGTCATAAAAGGCCACATATCTTCCTTTTTGTTTGCTGGAATGTTAGCCTCTAGAACACCAAGCAACCTTTTGGAAGAAGTTAGACAACCCAGGCTGGGTGTGGTGGCTCACGCCTGTAATCCCAGCACTTTGGGAGGCTGAGGTGGACAGATCACCTGAGGTCAGGAGTTCGAGACCAGCCTGGCCAACACAGTGAAACCCTGTCTCTACTAAAAAATACAAAAATTAGCCAGACATGGTGGTGGGCACCTGTAATCCCAGCTACTAGGGAGGCTGAGGCAGGAGAATCACTTGAACCTGGGAGGTGAAGGTTACAGTGAGCCAAGATTCCACCACTGCACTCCAGCCTGGGCAACAAGAGCAAAACTCCGTCTCAAAAAAAAAAAAAAAAAAAAAAAAAGGAAGTTAGACAACCCAGAGGCTGCCACACTGTGAGGAAGCCCAAGCTGCATGCAGAGGCCACATGTAGGTACATTGGTCAAGAGTCCCAGCTCAGCCCAGGGTTCAGGTTCTCCTAGCCCAGGACCCTAAACATATGGATGAAGCTCCCAGATGATTCCATTCCCCCTCCCCGCACCCCAGCCTTTCATGTCATTCCAAGTTTGAGTTTTTCCAGCTGAGGTCTCAGACATTGTGGCATCATCCCTGCTATGCCCTGTTAGAATTTCTTGCACACAGAATTTATGAGCATAATGAAATGGTGGTTGTTTTACTCCACCTAAGGTTGGTGAATTATTATACTACCATAGGTAATGGAACACTTAACTGACATATGATAGATTCTGTGGGCTATCCAAAATACTTCCAAAAAATTTCTTTTGGCTGACCGACTTAACCAGTATTGGCTTCTCTTGTCAAAATCAAGAATCTTGGTTGGTATAGGCCGGGCGTGGTGGCTCACACCTGTAATCCCAGCACTTTGGGAGGCCAAGGCAGGCAGATCACCTGAGGTCAGGAGATCGAGACCAGCCTGGCCAACATGGTGAAACCCCTTTTGTACTAAAATACAAAAATTAGCCAGCCATGGTGGTGGGCACCTGTAATCCCAGCTACTTGGGAAGCTGAGGCAGGAGAATCGCCTGAACCTAAGGGGCGGAGGTTGCAGTGAGCCGAGATTGTGCCTCTGCACCCCAGCCTGGCGACAGAGTGAGACTCTGTCTCAAAAAAAAAAAAAAAAAAAAAAAGAATCTTGGTTTGCATACATACAATAAAACACTATGCAACCTTTAAACTAATGATGTAGTTCTATATGAATTGTCATGAAAAGATGTTCCAACTGTAATTTTAAGTGAAAACAATAGGTTCCAAAACAGTATGTACAGAGTAGTTTTTTTTTTTTAAATAAAAGTATCACTTTTGCATAGAATAAATACCAGGGTGCTATCTACCAAAAATATACAGTGATTATCTCAGGATATTGGCATGATAGCTTCTTTCTTCTGCTTAACTGTATTTTCTAATTTTTCTATAGTGAACATCAGTTTCCTATGTAATTTTTATCTTACATAATATTTTAATTAAAACATATTTTTTAAAAAAACAAAGCAAGGGTTACAGATCTAGGAATTTGAGAGTGCCTGAACTACCCCTCTGCCTCTGGGGATTTTGTAAATTTCCCAATGAGAGATCCCAAAGTGCAATCTCTAAAGTGTACGGTAGCCCTGAGTAATTCCTCCCCTCCACATATATATGTGTGTGTGTGATGTATATGTACATGTGTATATATATAAAATACATGTATATGTAGTGTGTATATATATGCATGTACACACACAAATATATACATATGTATATACACATATATACACACACACACATATATATGCTGCTCTTCACTTTAAGAAAGTGTTTATTTCCCCTCTCCTTATATCTGGACTGGCCTGTGACTGCATTGGCCATAGAACGCATCATAAGATGTTCAAGGACATCTGAATCTCAGGCCTCAGGAAGACTGGTAGCTTCTGTTTCCTTCCTCTTACAGTGCCTGTCCTTGGGGTGTTCTTTTTTTTTTTTTTTCCCTTCAACTCTTTTTTTTGAGACAGAGTCTTGCTGTGACACCCAGGCTGGAGTGCAATGGCATGATCTTGGCTCACTGCAACCTCCGCCTCCTGGGTTCAAGGGATTCTCCTGCCCCAGCCTTCCGAGTAGGTGGGATTACAGGCACGCGCCACCACACCTGGCTAATTTTTGTATTTTAAGTAGAAACGGAGTTTCACCATATTGGCCAGGCTGGTCTCGAACTCCTGACCTCAAGTGATCTGCCCACCTCAGCCTCCCAAATTGCTGGGATTACAGGCACAAGCCACTGCGCCCAGCCTTCCTTCAACTTTTAAGTTCAGGGGTACATGGGATGTTCTCTCTCATTACCAGCCTATTCCATGTGGAAAGACCACATGGAGGAGAACCAAGACTCTCCTGCTGACAGCCTCAGCTGAGCTCCAGGCCAATAGCCAGCACCAACTGCCAGCCTGGCAAGTGAGTCATTTTGGATTCCAGCCATGTTGAACCCTAGTTGACTACAGCTTCAACCAATATCATGGAGAGCAGAAGAACTGCCAAGCTGAGTCCTGTTAACCCACAGATATGAGGGATACTAAAATGATTGTTGTTTTAAGCCTAGGTTTGGGGGCAATGTGGCAGCCAGCCTCCAAGATGGCCCCAGTGGTCCCCACCTCCTGGTATTCACACCACTTTATAAGCCCTTTGCACTTTGTACCAGAGCTGGCCTGTGTGACTAATAGAATACAGCACGGTGTGTTACTTCCTGGATTAGGCTATAAAAGACCTTGTGGCTTCTGTCTTGGTCACTCTTTCAGATCCCTCTTCCTGTTGGAAACAGCACCATGGAGAGGCCCACATAGTGTGACCAACTCCTCCCAGGACTTCCCAGGACTTTCCCGGTTCAGCACTGAAAGTCTCACATCCTGAGAACTCCCTCAATCCTGGACAAACCAGGATGGTTGGTCACCATATGCCCATATGGTAAGGAAATGAGACATTTGGACAACAGCCAGCAAGAAACTGAGGCCTCCTACACACAGTCATGTGAGGACACCATCTTGGGAGTAAACCCTCCAGCCCCAGCCAAGCCCTGAGCTGCCTGCAGTCCCAGCTGAAGCTCAACTGCAACCTCAGGAGAGCTTCTGAGCTAGAACTATTTGCCTAAGCTGATTATGGAATCCTGTCCCTGTGATGTATTATTTTAAGCTGCTAAATTTGGGATAATTTACTAAACAACAATAATAGATTTTTTTTTTTCTCGAGATGGCGCCCTGCTCTCTCGTCCATGCTGGAGTGCAGTGGCACAATCTCAGCTCACTGAAACTTCCACCTCCCAGGTTCAAGCAATTCTCCGGCCTCAGCCTCCCAAGTAGCTGGGATTACAGGTGCACGCCACCACGGCTAATTTTTTTTTTTTTGTATTTTTAGTAGAGACGGGGTTTCACCATGTTGGCCAGGCTGATCTCGAACTCCTGACCTCAGGTGATCCGCCTGCCTTGACCTCCCAGAGTGCTGGGATTACAGGCGTGAGCCACCACACCTGGCCAACAAGAGATATCTTATACAGGTTGTTTGTTACACCCCAACAGAAGCAGGGGACATTAGTGGATCATGTTCTCCACCCTGTTGTGTGTATTTTATATAAATGTATGGGGTAAACAATAATTAAAATTTAAAAAACAAAAAAAAACTTTTATGGGGTACGAGTGTAATTTTGTCACATGGATACATCGTGTAGTGGATCTACCTTTTGTGTGTGTGTGTGTGACAGGGTATCACTCTGTCATCCAAGCTGGAGTACAGTGGTGTGATCATAGCTCACTGAAGCCTCAAGCTCCCATGTCCAAGCGATCCTCCCACCTCAGCCTTCCAAGTAGCTGGGACTACAGGTGTGCACCACCATGCCCAGCTAATTTTTTAATTTTTTCAGAGACGGGGTCTCCCTATGTTCCTCAAGCTGGTCTCAAACTCCTGGACTCAAGCAATCCTCCAGCCCCAGCCTCCCAAAGTGCTAGGATTACAGGTGTGAGCCACTGCGCCCAACCTACCCTGTTTTAGACAGCTGTGATGATCTTTCTGTTTGGGGATTTCTTTTCCTTTCCTGAAAATCAACCTAACAGAATTTTGCTCCTGGAGTTTCTGGAGAGCAGTGCTGGGCAGGTCCCCTGGCTGCTGCTGGGTGAGCATTCCAACTCTAATTGTTTTCCAAGCTTTAACCATAAGTCCCTTGGACTCCCTTGGGTCCTCTAACCTCTCTATTTCCAAATGCTCTCTGAGGTGGCCCTTATTTCTGTGAAGGCCTGAGGTGTTTACCTGGGCTGCTTACATAGCCTTCTCTGCTAGAAAAGATCCCTGATGTCTGGCAGCATGAGATCTGTGCAGAGAACAGTACGCGGGGTGCATGGCCTACAGGGCACGCAGGTGTGGGAGTCTGGGTGGGCCCCTCCTTGACCCCAAAATCTTTCCCAACCAGGCACCAAGGAATCAGATCTTAGCATTTGGGTGTGACTCATTCACTTGGGAGGGACAATTTCTTCACTGGTACCTCCTTTTGAGTGAATTTATTGAAGACACTCTTTTCTGCTGGGGTAGCATGAGATGAATTTGAACATAATCCAAGGCCGGCACAGAAGGCAGGCGTGGCCCAAAGCTGACCCTGGCTCCACTTCATAATTCCATGTTAGACCGATCCTGATCTGTCTACAGAGAGTCAGGCTGCAGGGCTACCCCCGTGCTGAGCACCCCAGCATGCTCAAGGGCAGGCCGTGGTGTACACCAGAGACCCAGAGACACCTTGCAAGTACAAAGTAGGTAAGATACAAATTAACATGTACTGAGTGCATTTGCTTCCCAAGGCTGCCATAACAAAGTCCGTAAACTGGGTGGCTGAAAATAACCGAAATGTATCCTCTCACAGCTCTGGAGAGTAGAAGTCCAAAATTAAGGTGTCATGGGCTTGGATCCTTCGAAGGGCTATGAGGGAGAATCTGTTCTCGGCCTCTCTCCTTGCCTCTGGTGTTTTGGTGGCGATCTTTGTTGTTCCTTGGCTTGTTGGCGCGTCACTCCAATCTCTTCATCTTCACATGGCCTTTTCCTTGTGTGCATCTCTGTCTCTGAGTCCAAACTTTCCACCCTAATGTCTTCATCTTCACTTAATCATCTGCAAGGACCCCATTTCCAAATAAGGTCACATTCACAGGCACTACGGGTTAGAACTTCAACATCTTTCAAGGGAATGCAATTCAATCCGTAACACTGAGGAGTTAGTAAAAATAGTTAATATCTATGAAATATCAGGAACTGCCGTGACAGTCATTTTATATACATTATTCTTAAATTTTCTTTTCCTTTTTTTCTTTTTTTTTTTGAGATGGAGTCTCACTCTGTCACCCAGGCTGGAGTGCAATGGCACGATCTTGTCTCAATGCAACCTCCGTGTCCCAGATTGAAGCAATTCTACCTCAGCCTCCCAACTAGCCGGGATCACAGGCATGCACCATTACACCTGGCTAATTTTTGTATTTTTAGTAGAGACAGGGTTTCACCATGTTGGCCAGGCTGATTTCGAACTCCTGACCTCAAGTGATTTGCCCACTTCAGCCTCACAAAGTGCTATGATTACAGGCATGAGCCACCACGCCCAGCCTATATACATTATTCTTAATCCTCACAAAGATGCCCTCATTTTATAGCTGTAGAAACTGAGGATAAGAAAACTTATGGGGCTTATACTAAATTACATAGCTAGAAAGTACAAGCTCTGGAATCAGATAGGCTGGCTTCACCACTTACCTGTGTGAAGCCTTGGGCAAGTTATTTTAACCTCTCTGTGCCTCAGTTTCCTCATTTGTAAAATGAGGATAATAATCATGATTCTTTCATTCATGCTGAGTTGTTGCAAGGATTTTATTTATTTATTTTTTTCTGAGTTATATTATGTGCCAGGTTCAATATTATTGTTTTATATACCTATCTGAATTACATTTCCCCATGTCTTTGTGAGACATGTCTTTGTGAGACAATAACTATTGTTATTCCCATGGAGAAAGATGAAGAAAGTGATGCATAATGCGGCCAAGTAGCCAGGGTCATTCAGCTAGCCCCAGGAGTCAGATGGGACCCAGGTTTGGGGGACTGCTGCTTGTGCTACCTCCTGATTACTAATTAAGATTCTTCAGTATCTTGATACAGGGAAGAGGTGTCCTGGTTGGCAGGCAGGAGTATCCTGGTCAATGGAAAGTTATATCCTTCCATTGTAAGTTAATGAATTTGGTAAGCAAGAGTCACCCCTTGAGCCCAAGCACCTCTTAAAAGCACCTCTGGTCACTGAAAAAGAGTTTCTCAACTGCCATCTTTTATTCAACAAATACTTATTGAGCAGCTACTATGTGCCAGGCCACTGGAAATAAAGCAGAGAATGAGATGGACAAAGAGCTCACATTCTAGTCGGGGTGGACAAACATGTAACCAAATAAGCAAGACTAGTTTTCAATATGTGAGATGCTATGAAGACAATAAAATGGTATGATAAATAATGACTAAGGGAGTCAGTAAAAGGTCACTGTGAGCAGGTGGTACCTGAGCTGAGACCTGACATGATCAGCCAGTTATGAGACTCTAGAGAAGGGTGCATTAGGCACAAGGACAGACAGTGCAAAGGTCGGAGTGAGATCTGCATGTCAGACAGACTACAGGGTGGTGGCCAGGATGGCTGGAGCAAGGTGAGAGGTAGAAAGTATGATGCAAGATGAGACTGAGAGCTGGGTATGGGCCTTGCAGGCCATAGAAGGGATTTCAGTTTTATTCTAAGCACAACTGGAAACCCGTGGAGGATTTTAAGCAAGAGAGTAATATGCCCAAACTCTAAATCATTTTGATTCTATCAAGGTCTACCCTTCCACGTAGAGCTTCCCTCTAACGTAATCTTGTAATCTTGAATTTCAACAGATAGAAACATTTAAAGAGCCAGATAGTAAAACTGGTAATGCCACTCCATCTTGCTTAAGTTACAATCTCTCCTTTACAGGATTCCACAGAATTCTGGCAATCACCATTTCACTTACGTGATGACTGTAATTCATATTCTCGTGAAATGTTAGAATATAATGGTCCACATTTTATGAATGAACAAAACAAAATATGAATATCTTCTTTAAGGTCAATAATAGAACCAGGAAAGAAACTGAGAAATCTTTCTTTGTTACATGTGTTTTTTTTTTTTTGTTTTTTTTTTTTTTGAGATGGAGTCTTGCTCTGTCACCCAGGCTGGAGTGCGTGGCATGATCTCAGCTCACTGCAACCTCTGCCTCCCGGGTTCAAGTGATTCTTCTGCCCCAGCCTCCCGAGTAGCTGGGACTACAGGCGCATGCCACCACGCCTGGCTAATTTTTTGTATTTTTAGTAGAGACGCGGTTTCACCGTGTTAGCCACGATAGTCTTGATCTCCTGACCTCATGATTCTTGCCTCGCCCTCCCAAAGTGCTGGGATTACAGGCATGAGCCACCACGCTCGGCCTATTAAATGTGTTTTTAACACAGTCCACCTTAATTTCTCGTTCCATACAACTGCACGTTCTGAGCACATTTCTTGCATATTGTATTGGTTTTACTCTCCTGCTGGTACTCAGTCCTGCAGTAGGTGCACTTCACAACAGGGTGTGCAATCCGACATTCCTTGCACAGCTGCTGCCCCTGAGACAGCACCTGGAAGGGGAAACGCTGGTGGCACTTGGTGCAGGCGTAGAGCGCCGCCATGTCCGGCCCGGGCCGCGCTCACCGACCCGCCAGCCCGGCCCGCTGATTTATCTCGTTGCAAGGATTTTAAAGATAATGCACAGAGGGCCGGGCACAGTGGCTCACGCCTGTAATCCCAGCACTTTGGGAGGCCAAGGCGGGCAGATCACGAGGTCAGGAGTTCGAGACCAGCCTAGCCAACATGGTGAAACCCCGTCTCTACTAAAAATACAAAAATTAGCTGGGCGTGATGGCGGGTGCCTATAGTCCTAACTGCTTGGGAGGCTGAGGTAGAGGAATTGCTTGAAACTGGAAGGCGGAGGTTGCAGTGAGCCAAGATCATGCCACTGCACTCCAGCCTGGGCGAAAGAGCGAAACTCCGTCTGAAAAAAAAAAAAAAAAAGGTAATGCACAGAGCCTGGTACATAGAAATTACTGAATTCATGGTAGTTGTCGTTATAAGTCGTGGAGTCAAGATTTAAATCCACATCTCCTTAGCTCCAATTTCTTCATTCTTTTCTCTCTGATCCAGCATAACCAGGTGTCAGGCACTTCTGTGTCCATGATCTCATAGAATCTTCATAATACCTCTGTGAGGTGAATATTTCTGGCTAGCTTTTATGCTTGTAGGAAATAAGGCACAGAGAGGTGAGGTGACTTTACCAAGGTAATCCAGTAAATAAAGCATTCTATTCTAGCTCCACGGATTCTAATATTTCTTCCCCTATGTTACCTCTCATCCCAGTGCATGGAGGTTCACAGGCATAATATAAAGGAACATTTTCCTCTACAATGGTTTGCTAATAGCCTCTATATCTAAGGTAGTCAGTCAAGATTATGAGCTAAGTCAGTGGCCCAACCTGAGACTATGACAGGCAGAGTTCTGTTCCCATAAGAGTCAGCTCCTGCCAGGTTCAGAAAGCTCAGGCCACAGAATATGCTGTTAATCTTGAGAAAGTCCTTCAGGAGAAGGAAGCTGTCTCTCCCTCTTTTTCTCCCTCTCTCTCCCCTGCTCCTACACCACACACACACACACACACACACACACACACACACACAATGCTTATAAGAGTCTTCACCCTTGGGACAAGCAACTAACCATTGAAAAGAGATCGGTTATATAAGACTTTTCTGTTCGGAAGCCTGAAAAGTGAAAACCAGCTGTGATATGGTTTGGATCTGTGTACCTGCCAAATCTCATGTTGAAATGTAATCCCCAGTGTTGGAGGAGGGGCCTGGTGGGAGGTGTTGGGTCAGGTTGTCTAAAGTGCGTGGCACCTCCCCTACTCTCTCTTGCTCCTGTGTTTGCTGTGTGACGTGCAAGCTCCTTGCTTTGCCTTCTGCTGAGAATAAAATCTCCCTGAGGCCTCCCCAGAAGCTGAGTCCTGATGCCAGCACAATCCTTCCTGTATAGCCTGCAGAAACATGAGCCAGTTAAACTTCTTTTACTATAAACCACCCAGTCTCAAGTATTTCTTTATAGCAATGCAAAAACAGCCTAACACAAGCTGCCAGGCCCAGTTCATAGTTCCCCAGCAAACCAGTGCTAGGGAGGATTCCAAAAGACAAAAATAGAAAGAAATTCCAAAAATGCAAATACCTCAGAGAGGAATGCTTTTGGGTTTCTTCATCAGGATAGAAAGAAAGTTAGAGCAGCAGAAGCCTTTTGCTGGAGCTTTCTCTGATCCTCCCTGTACCACCTCTGCCCAGCGGCTCTCCACACCACAGCTTAGTCCTGCAGACACCTGGGGAGAACAGACATTTCTGTAGCTACCCAGGGGCCTCATCTGGCACTTAGACAAGTTTTGTTCCACCTGCACACATTTTTAAGTAGTTGCTAAAAATTTTAAATTATGAGATTTTACCTAAGCTTTTGGATTTTTGTTGTTTTGCTTCTTTTGAAAAATCAAAGGTTCTGGCCAGGTGACTGTATTCTTGAGTGGTGTGAGCTGGAGTTGGGTCATGGTTGCCTCCTGATTATTTTTATGCCTAGACCACTAATCTTGTCTAGTCCCTGCAAGAATTCGGGTTTTTCACTTCAGGCCAACTGTGACCTCAGCTCTGCCTGTCAAATGAAACAGATGTGGCTTTGCCTTGGCATTCAAAAATATTTCTAAGCATGGCTTATTCAGACTTACCACTCATGACTACACTTCGTTCAAAATTTTTCTACTCCTTCATCCTCTAACAGATATCTTATTTTCCCACATTAATGGCTTTTCTAGTGATTTTTATTTCCTCTAACATGTCTTCTTTCCGAACTTGGCCTTGGAACTCTTCCATATCCTTTAAAATCCATATGAAGGCCTTGCAGAATCTCCCAAATAAAGTTTTACGAACTTTCTTTCCTTCGATGCTCCAAAACAACCTTTTTTTTAAATTTTTTTATTTTTTACTCAGGCTGGTCTTGAACTCCTGGCCTCAAGTGACCCTCCCACCTTGGCCTCCCAAAGTGCTGGGATTACAGGTATGAGCCACCCCATTCCCAGCCCAACTTGTTATTCTTTGAAGTACTCACTCTGGATTTTCATAACTTCACATATTTGCACATTATGTTTTTTCTTCCTGGAATTGACTTCCCTCTTTCTCTGCCTGTTGAAGTCCTAATTGTTTTATACTCATTCATAAGCCACTCCCTCTGGGCTTCCTTCCCCATTTACCTGAGCAGAATGGGTTGATTCTTCTTCTGTGAGATGCATTTGTAGAAACATATTTAGTATGTAAATATATATACCATCTATTTGCATTATACACACACACACACACACACACACACACACACACACAACATAATAACATATATAGCTTTTGGAGACAGAAAGCCCTGGATTCAATCCCAGCTCCACCATTTGCAAGCTGCTTGATTTCAAGCAAATAAATTATCTAAATCACGTCTGCTTCATCTATAAAAATGGCAGTGACAATGATAAAACCTACACCAAAGAGTCATAGTGAATATCAGTTGCCACACAGCTAACCTCTCAGTAAAGTTTCACTAGTGCTTTTATCCCTGTATTAGCACTAGTTTCTTTGAATAATTATTTGGGGGAATGTGTCTTCCCTATCAGACTGTGGGCTTCAGTGTGGGGACTGTGTCTTATTCATCTTTCTAGGGCTTAATAAATATGTATTGAATGAACCAATTCACTATTATGTATACATTGGTTTCATGACCTCTACTTGAGGGTTAGCTCCTTGAGTTGTCAACTGGGCCTTTCTTTTTATGATGTAAGCTCCATGATCCTCCAGGGCCTACCACAGTGACTTTAATAGGCCCTTAATGTGTAAATACTTAGCGAACGATTGAATGGACTTCCCAGAGTCCAGCTTTCAAAGACCACTGATGAACAAGAATCTGTGTTAGTAACTGCTATGTGCCAGGAACCGTACACATATCATTTCCTTTAAAGAGGACATATCATTTCCTTTGAAGTCAGACCAGGAGCAGTTGTTCATGCTGGTAATCCCAGCACTTTGGGAGGCCGAGGTGGGAGGACTGCTTGAGCCCTAGAGGTCAAGGATGCAGTGAGCTGTGATTGCGCCACTGCACTCCAGCGTAGGTGACAAAACAAGACCCTGTCTCAAAAAATAAATAAATAAATAAATAGATTTCTGTATTAATCTTTACCAACACTTAATCCTCACCAACATGCTGTAGGGTTAATATACTGTTTTAGAGGAGGAAACAGAGACTTAGAAAGGCTAAGTAAACTTGTAAGACTTCAGAATCCCATTTCAGTAACACCACTCTTCTTAGCCAGAAGTTTTTTGTCAATGTCCAGTAAATAGAACAACACTTCTCAACTGTCTCTGTTCTAACCTGGAGCAATGGTTGCTAAAAATAAGGCCCTGCCCCTCACTCCCAGCCCACCACTCTTCTGTTAAGGACTTTTAAATACTTTCTTTTTCTCCTTGTCTTTCCCTTCCTCCACTTTTCTAAAGGAATGGAAAAATCTTCCTTGTGAAGAGGCTTGGAATAAGAGAGCTATGATCATGTTCTCAGGGCCCAGTGCAAAATGTAAATGCAGGGCACCTTGTTCAAAAAAAAAAATTTTTTTTTTTTTTGAGATGGAGTTTCACTCTGTCGCCCAGGCTGGAGTGCAGTGGTGCAATACCAGCTCACTGCAAGCTCCGCCTCCCGGGTTCACGCTAATTCTCCTGCCTCAGCCTTCCCAGTAGCTGGGACCACAGGCACCTGCCACCACGCCCGGCTAATTTTTTTTTTTTTTTGTATTTTTAGTAGAGACGGGGTTTCACCGTGTGTTAGCCAGGATGGTCTCTATCTCCCAACCCCGTGATCCGCCCACCTTGGCCTCCCAAAGTGCTGGGATTACAAGTGTGAGCCACTGCGCCCAGCCCCCTTGTTAAAAAATTATCAAGAATTTAAAGATGGCTGACAACAGAGCATTTAATTGAGTGTCCAAGAGCAATCCTGCCATTTCTGAGAGCAGAGTCCTGGGCAACTGCACAAGGCTGCAGGCCTCTAGAGGCATGCCATGCCCCTAGACCTCAACTGTTTTTCCATCAAAAATCAGTATCACCAGCTTTTGTCCTGCCCAACTTTCCAAACTTGGCTGCCATTAATTTCTCACATCCCTGCATGCACTAGCCACTCCCCTTAAGTAGAGGTGAAGAGAATTCCTCTTCTTCTTCTCCCATAACATGTTTTAAATTTAAAAAAAAGAAATTTAACCAGGAGTGGTGGCTCACACGTATAATCCCAGCGTTTTAGGAGGCTTGAGGCAGGAGGATCACTTGAGCCTAGGAGTCCAAGACCAGCCTGGGCAACGTAGCAAGACTTCATCTCTACAAAAAATAAAATTAGTAGGGCATGGTGGCACGCACCTGTAATCCCAGCTACTCAGGAGACTGAGGCAGGAAAATCACTTGAGCCCAGGAGTTCGAGGCTGCAGTGAGCTGTGATCCCACCACTGCACTCCAGCCTGGCTGACAGAGTGGGACCCCATCTCAAAAAAAAAAAAAAAATTAAGCTGGTGATAGTAAAGCCATGTTATGAGCTTTAAGGACATTGAAGTCATTAAGATTCCTGGAAATGGCTACAAAAAATTTTTAAAAAACAAAAACCAGAGGAGCCAAGATGGCCGAACAGGAACAGCTCCGTTCTACACCTCCCAGCGTGAGCAATGCAGAAGACGGGTGATTTCTGCATTTCCATCTGAGGTACCAGGTTCATCTCACTAGCGAATGCCAGACAGTGGGCACAGGACAGTGGGTGCAGCACACCTTGCGCCAGCCGAAGCAAGGCGAGGCATTGCCTCACTCAGGAAGCGCAAGGGAGTTCCCTTTCCTGGTCAAGGAAAGGGGTGACAGATGGCACCTGGAAAATTGGGCCACTCCCACCCAAATACTGCGCTTTTCCGACAGGCTTAGGAAACGGCGCACCAGGAGATTATATCCCGCACCTGGCTCGGAGGGTCCTACGCCCACGGAGTCTCGCTGATTGCTAGCACAGCAGTCTGAGATCAAACTGCAAGGCAGCAGCGAGGCTGGGGGAGGGGCACCCGCCATTGCCCAGGCTCGCTTAGGTAAACAAAGCAGCTGGGAAGCTCGAACTGGGTGGAGCCCACCACAGTTCAAAGAGGCCTGCCTGCCTCTGTAGGCTCCACCTCTGGGGGCAGGGCACAGACAAACAAAAAGACAGCAGTAACCTCTGCAGACTTAAATGTCCCTGTCTGACAGCTTTGAGGAGAGCAGTGGTTCTCCCAGCACGCAGCTGGAGATCTGAGAACGGGCAGACTGCCTCCTCAAGTGGGTCCCTGACCCCTGACCCCCGAGCAGCCTAACTGGGAGGCACCCCCAGCAGGGGCAGACTGACACCTCACACGGCCGGGTACTCCTCTGAGACAAAACTTCCATAGGAACGATCAGACAGCAGCATTCGTGGATCGCGAAAATCTGCAGTTCTGCAGACACTGCTGCTGATACCCAGGCAAACAGGGTCTGGAGTGGACCTCTAGCAAACTCCAACAGACCTGCAGCTGAGGGTCCCATCTGTTAGAAGGAAAACTAACAAACAGAAAGGCCATCCACACCAAAAACCCATCTGTACATCACCATCATCAAAGACCAAAAGTAGATAAAACCACAAAGATGGGGAAAAAACAGAGCAGAAAAACTGGAAACTCTAAAAAGCAGAGCGCCTCTCCTCCTCCAAAGGAACACAGTTCCTCACCAGCAATGGAACAAAGCTGGATGGAGAATGACTTTGACGAGTTGAGAGAAGAAGGCTTCAGACGATCAAACTACTCCAAGCTGCAGGAGGAAATTCAAACCAAAGGCAAAGAAGTTGAAAACTTTGAAAAAACTTTAGACGAATGTATAACTAGAATAACCAATACAGAGAAGTGCTTAAAGGAGCTGAGGGAGCTGAAAGCCAAGGCTCGAGAACTACGTGAAGAATGCAGAAGCCTCAGGAGCCGATGCGATCAACTAGAAGAAAGGGTATCAGTGATGGAAGATGAAATGAATGAAATGAAGAGAGAAGGGAAGTGTAGAGAAAAAAGAATAAAAAGAAACGAACAAAGCCTCCAAGAAATATGGGACTATGTGAAAAGACCAAATCTGCGTCTGATTGGTGTACCTGAAAGTGACGGGGAGAATGAAACCAAGTTGGAAAACACTCTGCAGGATATTATCCAGGAGAACTTCCCCAATCTAGCAAGGCAGGCCAACATTCAGATTCAGGAAATACAGAGAATGCCACAAAGATACTCCTCGAGAAGAACAACTCCAAGACACATAATTGTCAGATTCACCAAAGTTGAATTGAAGGAAAAAATGTTAAGGGCAGCCAGAGAGAAAGGTCGGGTTACTCACAAAGGGAAGCCCATCAGACTAACAGCGGATCTCTCGGCAGAAACCCTACAATTCAGAAGAGAGTGGGGGCCAATATTCAACATTCTTAAAGAAAAGAATTTTCAACCCAGAATCTCATATCCAGCCAAACTAAGCTTCATAAGTGAAGGAGAAATAAAATACTTTACAGACAAACAAATGCTGAGAGATTTTGTCACCACCAGGCCTGCCCTAAAAGAGTTCCTGAAGGAAGCACTAAACATGGAAAGGCACAACCAGTACCAGCCACTGCAAAATCATGCCAAAATGTAAAGACCATCGAGACTAGGAAGAAACTGCATCAACTAACGAGCAAAATAACCAGCTAACATCATAATGACAGGATCAAACTCACACATAACAATATTAACTTTAAATGTAAATGGACTAAATGCTCCAATTAAAAGACACAGACTGGCAAATTGGATAAAGAGTCAAGACCCATCAGTGTGCTGTATTCAGGAAACCCATCTCACGTGCAGAGACATACATAGGCTCAAAATAAAAGGATGGAGGAAGATCTACCAAGCAAATGGAAAACAAAAAAAGGCAGGGGTTGCAATACTAGTCTCTGATAAAACAGACTTTAAATCAACAAAGATCAAAAGAGACAAAGAAGGCCATTACATAATGGTAAAGGGATCAATTCAACAAGAAGAGCTAACTATCCTAAATATATATGCACCCAACACAGGAGCACCCAGATTCATAAAGCAAGTCCTGAGTGACCTACAAAGAGACTTAGACTCCCACACAATAATAATGGGAGACTTTAACACCCCACTATCAACATTAGACAGATCAATGAGACAGAAAGTTAACAAGGATACCCAGGAATTGAACTCAGCTCTGCACCAAGTGGACCTAATAGACATCTACAGAACTCTCCATCCCAAATCAACAGAATATACATTTTTTTCAGCACCACACCACACCTATTCCAAAATTGACCA